>NC_000009.12:60829521-61003887 GCF_000001405.40 Homo sapiens
GAATTCTGCGTGCTATTGAAGCATGGTTCTTTCCAAACTCATGGCAACTATACCTCAGAATTAAACTCTATAATTAAGGAAGAAACCCTCATTCTCCCTGTAATAACTGAATACCTAAGCACATTAAAATGCCTAAATAATCTGGTATTTTCCCATAAGCATTCTGTAAAGTTTTTCTTAAGCTATGCGGCAGTTATACCCTTTGCTTCCTTTAAAACAATATGAATGAGCATTTTAAAGAGATAAATGGAATTTATAAGCTATCAACTTCTCGTCATTAAAAAATAATTAAAGCTGATTTAAAAAAGAAACATCCCTAAGTATTTTGCAAGTGACAATTCAAGACAGCCGAAATTCAAAACAGGAGAGAAACTTTTTTGAAAGACATCCCTATATAATGTAAATTTACTCTAGCATAATTGAGTATTTTCATTTGTGCAAGTAAATGTTTTACCAAGTACAAGGTATGGAATTAATATCTGCAGGAGATGGACATTGCTAATCTTTATTTTTTTGCCACTTATGGCATATTGATTTAAATAGATACATATATTTGTATATGTCTGGTGGGATTCACTCAAATTAATAACAATACTTAAATATAGGGCACAGACTAGGTTTGGAATGGAGACAAATATTGAGGAAAGTGACTAGAACTTGTGCTTTATGTGAACTGTTTGGCTTTTTAAATGATAATGTATACATGTATTAATGTATAGTATATATTAATTGAATACAATTGATTTTAATTGTATAATTAATTATATACAATGAGTTATATACAATTAATAATTATATACAATTAATTAGTTGCACATAATTGATACATGTTATACAATTAGAAATACAAAATAACCTATTCAACTAGGTGTGGCAGTCTAGTCTCACAGTGAATGACTGTGGGCTTGGCAAATTTCTACCTATAGCCATCAATTATTAGATGAGACTGACACTTGAAATACTTTTTCAATCTCCTGATATTTTCCCTCAGAAGTTTTTGGAGTTATATTTTGATTGCAGTGAATAACCATGGACTAATATAACTCATTGATTAATTGCAATATTAAATGCAATCAGACAATGCTGAGTGTGGTGGCAGATATAAATTTTCCAGGTAACACACAAGATTAGGCTTCTGCTTTTAGGTAAGATACTATGCCTGGAGGATGAAAGATACACAGAAGTAAAAGATGTGGTCCCTGCACCAACTCTATGACCTTATCAAGACATTCAGCCTCTGGTGTGAGAGGCCACTCAACTCCTAGAAAATGTGTCACAGCGGCTGGGCATGGTGGCTCATGCCTGTAATCCCAGCACTTCGGGAGTCCAAGGCAGGTGGATCACAAGGTCAGGAGATCGAGACCATCCCGGCTAACATGGCAAAACCCCATCTCTACTAAAAATACAAAAAATTAGCCGGGCGTGGTGGCGGGCGCCTGTAGTCCCAGGTACTCGGGAGGCTGAGGCAGGAGAATGGCGTGAACCTGGGAGGCGGAACTTGCAGTGAGCTGAGATCATGCCACTGGGCTCCAGCCTGGGCGACAGAGCAAGACTCCATCTCAAAAAACAAAAAACAAACAAACAAAAAAAAGAAAATGTGTCACAGCTTTATAAACAGGGACCCTTCTAGTACAAAAATCATACTTCATGCTTCAATCTGTGAGAGTCACTCCTGGACTGTCTCCTCTTTTGCCCAGATCCTTTACAGAACCTCAGGACTGGGAGCGCAGAATTCTCATTGCAAGTATGAAGTGTGGTTTTAACACTCCACAGCCTGCCTTTCTCCTGTGGCTTTTGTGAAAATCAAATGTCTCACGGAAGAGTTCTTAAAAGTTTCAATTAGGAACTCAGGATGAGCAAGTGGAACTGAGGACTTTGCATCTCTGTTTCCTTGAAGACCCAGGGATGGGCGAAATATTCCTGAGGAGAAGTTGCTCAGAAACGTCAGTAGAGATATACAGAAAGAAAACTCTAAAAGTTAAAAACAAATAAGAAAAAAAAGGCTTTTCAGATTCTGTGATGTTCTAATTATAACAGGTTAGAGGTCAATAAAACGGCATGGCCTTTGAAATTCACAGAGGGTGATTCTTCAGTAAAGACAGATGATTTTTAATATGGCAGAGGCAGTTGAGAAGTGTTAGAATATGCCATCCCTTAGACATTGTTCTTACACTTAAATGTCTACCAGAAGCATGAGGAAGGTTGGTTACAAGAGACTCGGGGCCCCATCTCCAGCGATTCTGATTTAGTAGGTTTGGGTAAGGCCTGAGAGTCTTTACTTGCAACAGGTTCCCAGGGGCTGTGGGTGCTGCTGGTGCATGGACCACCAATCAGGCATCCTGGAGCCAAGGCTGTGGAGCCAACCTCCTTAGCTCAACTCCTCATCTTCCCACAAACTAGCTGGGGGCCAAGTTACTTAACCTCTTTCTGTCCTCAACTCTGCAATGAAGATAATAGTACTTTCTTCCAGCTGCTTTAGGGTTAAATGAGTTAATATATGCAAAGCAATAGCAGAGGGCTGACATAAGTACTCAATACATTAATACTTTTACAATTATTCACTTTACAATCATCATCACCACCACCAAAGAAAATCACAGTCATTGTAAGAGATCTTAAAGGTCCTCTAGTTTCTAGCTGATATCCCATTACCTCTTCAAAAATCTTGCCATGTACAATCCCATGATTGCATCATCCCAGTGATTGTTAAAAAATCTTTAAATACCTTAAATGCAACATTGACAGCCTGGCAAGGGGTTGTTTTTCCACCTTTCTTTGACTGAGAAGATTCTCAGAATTAAAATTATGGTCCAACTCAAGTAATGGAACAAGCTGTTAACATCATGCATTTTTAATTTAATTTAGTTTCTACCTTTTACTATATCTGATTCTCCTAGACTTATTTCCCCATTGCTTGCCAGTTTCTTTTTTCAATCCTATGTGTACCACGTATTTCTGTGCACTGTCTCAACACCCTTGTATTAAATAAGGTGGATTAAAAGTAAACTAGAAATTGAATGCTGAAATATCTCTTCTGATGTGTTTGCATGATTGCAAATATGCAGATACATATAAACAACTAATCAAAATGAAATGACAAAGAGATGCTGACAGAAACGAGAGGGAGGTGTGAGGCTTACAGGAATGGCAGGTCTCGCCCGTATAGCCTGTGCCCAGACAATCACAGGAGAAGGTGTCCCACGACTGGGAACACTCGCCCCCATGCTCACAGTAGCTGGGCAAGCACCTAAAAGAAAACAGATACAACTGCTGTTTCCCTTTTTCAATCATCAAAAAATAAGTGTCTTACCAAAAACAGGTTAACCAAAAACAGGTTAATGTGAAAGAGCAGCATACGCAAGATAACCCCACATGACGTGATTACTGGGTCTGCCATCAAGGTTCTCTAATTATATTGACAAACTTTAGATAAATATATCCATTAGCATGCAGCTGATTATTAGGTTTCTGAGACAGCTGAATTTTCAACACATTTCTTTTTTTCTTTGTCCCAAGTGACACAATAACTTGACATGTGGCTAGCAAAACCAATTACATACATAAAACTATGAAATATGGCATGCTCCGTTACTATATTGTGGTCATTTTTAAAAGAAAGAAGGGGAAACAGGGAGGAAGATACAGAGGGGAGAAGAAAGAAACAGGAACAGCTTCAGTCACATAGTGACAGAGGTTCAGAAATTTTGAAGAACATTTAATTTAGGTCATCTTGTCACCTTTTAGATTTGCAATAAGCAGTCGGTTATTGCTTTTTAAGCAATCTTAACACTGGTAATATGTCAATATGACCCAAAGCAATCTACAAATTCAATACAATTCTTATTAAAATCCCAATGCCTTTTTTTGCAGAAAACAAAAATCCATCCTAAAATTCATAGGGAACCTCAAGGGACCCTGAACCAGCCAATGTTGAAAAAGAACAGTTGGAGGTCTCACACTTTCAGAATTCTTGGAATCTGCTGCCGCCCACTATAATATTGGGGGCCTAGCATGCCTGCCTCTCAGGATTGTTAGGGGAACAGGGAGCAGGGTACACTATGGAAACTGACCAGCACCTGACACAGAGTGTCACCAAGAGGTAGTGTGACCTTCTGGAGGCCTGGCCTGAATACCATGACCCACCTCTGCCTTGAGCAGGGTTGGATCTCAGCCTCTGGCCGCTGTCTCCCACTGCTGAGTACACAGCTAAGGACCTGGTAAAGAGTGAAGATTCTAAAGGACACTGACCTTCCAGGCCGTGAGGGACATCATAGTCCATGCTGGAGTGGCAGAGGCGGGGAGCACCCCAGTGCCCCTCACCATGGGACCCAGAGAAGTAACAGAAGAGGGGCCGGGAGGTTGTGACAGGCCTCCTGGCTGTGGTGGAAGGACGACCAGCAGAGAACTGGGGTATGAAGTTGACAGAAAGCCCCAGGGGCCTGTATTTGGCCTCGGGAGAGATCCTTTGAGGGGAACCTGAGGGGCTGGGAAGAATCCGCAGCATTCCCTACCCTCCCCATGCCCCCAGCCCCCTATCCTGGCTCTCCAGCACTGCACCACCAGCTCAGGGCCAAGACTTCCATAATTACATGGTGTTAATGAGCATTTAGTCTGCATTCAGAGAAGAGTTAGGGGCCATGAGAATCACAACTTTTCAAGTATTTCAAAGGCCAAGGCATGGAAAAGCCTGTGTGAACTGATCAGAAGAGGGGGAGCTGGAGCGACAGGCAAGGTTGGCTGGGGTGGGGGCCCACCCTCATACCATTTTTAAAAGAGCAGCTGTTCCTCTTCCCCCACATCCTTCTCCCTCTCCTCCCCTTCCTTCTTAATATAATGGAGCATCTTAAGATCATACCTGACTTGAAGATTCCACAAATTTTAAAAAACATTAAAAACCACTGCTGTTTGATATCAACAGGGAGAGAATAACTTTAGTTCAAAATATTTGGAAATAAGAACTATTTAAGTGATCTAGAGACTATCAACATGTATACACTATTTTTCTTCAACTAAACACAACATCAATTGTGAAAAATTTACATGTATTACAAATAATAGAGGAAGTAGCTAGCATGCAGAAGACCAACAGAGGGGAAGATGGCAGAGGGAGGGCAGGAGTGGGGTCAGAAGCCTGGTCAGCACAGCCAGGTGAGGAGGTGACGGAGGCCTCCCTGCTCAGGGAGCCCCAGTTGGAACGCAGCACAGGACTCCACTGGAAGCTCTGCCATGTGGTATACAGGGCAAACCTTAAAACAGTATAGGAATTTGATGTAAGAGGTGATTAAGAAGTTAAAACCTATCCTGGCCGGGTGTGGTGGCTCACGCCTGTAATCCCAGCACTTTGGGAGGCTGACGCGGGTGGATCACGAGGTCAGGAGATCGAGACCATCCTGGCTAACACGGTGAAACCCCGTCTTTACTAAAAATACAAAAAATTAGCCAGGTGTGGTGGCGGGCGCCTGTAGTTCCAGCTACTCGGGAGGCCGAGGCACGAGATTGGCATGAACCCAGGAGGCGGAGCTTGCAGTGAGCCGAGATCGTGCCACTGCACTCCAGCCTGGGCGATAGAGCGAGACTCTGTCTCAAAAAAACAAACAAACAAACACCTATCCAAACATAAACATCCATTATTTGTGACTCTGTCATCCAAAGTGCCCATTGCTATTTTTTGCGTAGCTTAAAATTTTGACTAAAAAAGATAACTTCATACCCCTTATCTGTCCCTAAGTAGGATTTTTAGGTCTGGTATTTGAGTAACATATGTTTCTACTTTGTGAGTTAGTGATATGGTTTGGCTGTGTCCCCACCCAAATCTCATCTTAAATTGTAGTTCTCATAATTCCCACCGTGTCATGGGAGGGAACCTGTGGGAGGTAACTGAATCATGCGGGCAGATCTTTCTCAGGCTTTTCTCATGATAGTGAATAAGTCTCACGAGATCTGATGGTTTTATAAAGGGGAGTTTCCCTGCACAGGTTCTCTTGCGTGCTGCCATATAAGACGTGTCTTGTTTCTCCTTCACCTTCTGCTATCATTGTGAGGCCTCCCCAGCCATGTGGAACTGTGAATCCATTAAGCCTTTTTTCTTTATAATTACCCAGTCTTGGGTATATCTTTATTAGCAGCATGAGAACAGACTAATACAATTAGATTTTTGTTTGTTTGTTTGTTTGTTTGTTAACAACAACAAAGAAAGGCTGATAGATGCTTACAGGCCTGTTTTCAGGATACTTAAAAGTGAATTTTCAGTATTTTCAGGTTTTGAAAACTTTATGTAAAGGGAACAGCAAAGGTCTTTAATTTTAACTCTGTAGGATGTCATTTTGTGTCCCCAAAGTTTTCTAATTTTATTGCTTTATAAAATTCAGGTTTTCAAAATAATCTCAGAGGAGCTAGTCTTCTACGTTACTGAATTTGGGAATGAAATAGTAAATAGCCTTTATTTGTAGCCCTATTTGAAAATGATTTAAAAGTGCTTTCTTAAAATCCTTATCTGCAATGATTATTGTACACATCATGGCTGAAGTTTAAGTGTGGCTCACACATACATGCTTAGTTGAGCATGTTTACAAGTAACTTTGGGGTACAATTTGGAGGGCTTTTTAAAATGTGGGATCTTAGATACCAAGTTAGGCACCAATGTAACTCTTGGGACTTTAAGGTTAAAACAAAACAGCCTATAACAGTAAAAACAATAGTTTTGTACTTTGGGAGCTACATGCACAAAGCAGGCAACATGGATCATCTCTGAAAAGAGGCAGCCTCACAATATATATCTCATAACAGAAACACTGCAAATGGATCATATTTTGTGAGTAATTAACAAGGTATCAAAATAATGTCATACAAGTGAAGAAAATCACACTTGCATCACAGTTGAGCTGACAGCTGTTGTCACTCACAGTGTGGGCCCATGGGACATTACCCCTTAACTCAGAGAGAGCTGAGCTCCCTGGCTAGTTAGCTGAGCAACTTGGGATTATATTAAGTGAGCAAATGGCCAGAAACCTTCCCAACTACCCTTCCCACGACTACAGAGTGGGGTTCTGGAGCTGGTGTTGAGATGTAAATGCAGTCCCAGCTGTGTGCCAAGAATTCAAATCTCAAGGTCAAGAATGAGAGGTACTTGACAAATTCTTACACTTCATATACTCCTCATCTTTGAATTAATTCATTTTTCCTACAAATCAACAGAATGTTCACAGGGGGAAATTATTCCATGCTGAATAAATAAAGTCCATATGAATGAACTTTTCATTTAGTAGTAATTGCGTTTTTTTAGTATGTCACTAACTGTGAGTTATAAATTAAAACCTGTTTAGCCAGAGAGGATAATTTTACAGTTAATGTTTAAAACAGAATTGACTAACTGAATTTACTCCATGAAGAAGGCAGGTTTTGAAAGTTCTACCAGATGCAGATATAACTTTTTTTTTTTTTTTTTTTTTGAGAAGAGTCTGGCTCTGTTGCCCAGGCTGGAGTGCAGTGGCACGATCTCATTCACTGCAAGCTCCGCCTCCCGGGTTCACGCCATTCTCCTGCCTCAGCGTGCCGAGTAGCTGGAACTACAGGCGCCCGCCACCATGCCTGGCTAATTTTTTGCATTTTTAGTAGAGACGGGGTTTCACCATGTTAGCCAGGATGGTCTCGATCTCCTGACCTCGTGATCCGCCCGCCTCGGCCTCCCAAAGTGCTGGGATTACAGGCGTGAGCCACCGCGCTGGGCCAGATTATCGCTTTTTAATTTTTAAATCTGTAGCATTTATTTATTCACTGAAAGTAAATACCAAATGTACTGGGGCAAATTGTATGTAGAAATATTATTTTTCCAGGTGTGACCCTACGATTCTTCTCAGCCAAAATCTTTGTAAAATTATGGCACAACTAGCATAACTGTGGTTGTAATACTTATTTGAATTAAATGTTTTTCTTGTCTAACCTCCATATTTCATTGAGTATGTCCTTCTGCACACATCTTCATCCGTCTTTATGATTCAAACTTTTCTAGCAGAAATTACTTTTTATTTTCTCTGCAGAACATGTGGGGTTGGGTGGCTGATGAATAGTAACCTGGCAAATTCCTCTGCCTGGAAAAATATCATCCAACTGATGGGTGTGTGGTTGCAAAAGCGAGCTTTATAACTATTAGCTGAGCAACTCGGGATCATATTAAGGTAAAATTCATAAGGTGTATATCTTCTAATAAAATACTATCATTTAAAAAATGCTATTTATTCCATTAGAGATGCAGTTTTTGCTTTTGTTTTGAGACGGAGTCTCGCTCTGTCACCCAGGCTGGAGTGCAGTGGCGCGATCTCTGCTCACTGCAAGCTCCACCTCCCGGGTTCATGCCATTCTCCTGCCTCAGCCTCCCCAGTAGCTGGGACTACAGGCGCCTGCCACCACGCCTGGCTAATTTTTTTTTTCTGTATTTTTAGTAGAGACGGGGTTTCACCATGTTAGCCAGGATGAAGTTGATCTCCTGATCTCGTGATCCGCCAGCCTCAGCCGCATTACAGGTGTGAGCCACCACGCCCGGCCAAGATGAAGTTTTCTAATCCTCATAGTAATTATGACTATTTCATTCCCTCTCGAAAGATAACAACAACAAAAAAGAGAACGGAATGCCTTTTTCCAGCTGTCTACATTTGCTTTCTTCAACTTTGAAAACAGGCAAGCTAAAGTGACCTAGGATGGCCCTTACCTGTCTGTGATGCCGCAGGAGTCTATCTGGAGGTCCCTGAAACTCCCCAGCGCCCCCTGCTGTACTAAGATGGGATCCACCGCTTTGTCACCAATGGTGATGAGCCTTAGGCAGCCCTGAAACCCTCCCAGGGGGCTTTTACATCCAGAGCCAGAGCTGTTGCCCAGGCAGCCTGAATATGAAGACAAAAATAGGACAAAAGCAACAACTATGACAAAACTATTCCACAGTATTTACTATATGAAGACTGCTGCTCCCGCTTGTTTATGGACATCGGTATGATGCGATGAGCTTCACCATTCATTAGAGAGGTGAGAAGGGGCAAGGTTAGAACTGATCAAATTTAAGATAATACCTGGAATTCAGAATAAGAAATTACGGGGGAAAATTCAGATCTAAAATTCCTATAACAGGAATTATTTCCCAACCAAGTGAAAAGAGGTTTGGCTTCTTTTGTGAAATCTCATCTAAGAAATAAGCATGCATTTTAGCATTATGTAGTATAAGTGAAAAAAATTAAAGTGGAGGTTAAATTAAAATAAATGAAATCATAGCCCAAATTTTATTTAGGATATGCTGTGAAGTGTGAAAAATGCTACCTGAAAATATAATTGTGTACTACCATTTATCTAAAATATGTTAAATATCTACCCTATAGGTGTTTTTGTGTGTTGCGATGTATGTATATTTGGGAGTATTTAAAAACGTATTTTTTTATACTGACTGGGTGGAAATACCTAGATTTGCTTTTCTAGTAACACTTTCTTTGGTATTAGGTACTTTAGTCAAATATATAACTAAAGATTAAATTCTAATGTTAACAACAACACAAAAAGTAACAGGACATAACACACTGTTAGGGTACATAAGGATAAAAATTTGCAGTCCAGAATGTTCTATGAATAGAAAGAGATAAAATAGACATTTATTTCCAATAGTAGAAGTTAAATATTAAAAGTTTCACTACAATCGTCAGCTAATTTCACCTAAATTACAAATGACAATGCTTATGACATCACTTCCCTTTACTATGTGGGCTTGTTTTGTGAAACAAGAACAGTACTTATAAGAAGCAGTGGTGAGTGCCTGACTTTGACGTAAGCAGTATTACTCCACACCAGTCCAAGCATATAGGAAAGTAGTGTCTTGAACTTACTCCCACCCTCTTGAGTTACAATATATAACCTAATAATGGAACTCTAAGTTTGAAAAGTAAGGAAAAGGATGAAAGTACACACTCTAGTTAAAGAAAACACAATAATTGTAAAATCTTTTTATTTAAAGACAACTGTTTGTAGAAAGAGTCATATTAATTCAGAATAAAATCATAAGGCATTTGTCTAAGTCAGGAGTCTGCAAAGGTTTTCTGTAAAACGCAGATAGTAAACACTTTTGGTTTTGTGGGTCACACCTGGTCTCTGTTGCATGTCCTTCTTGTTATAACCCTTTAAAAATACAAAGCAGGGCTGGGCGCGGTGGCTCACGCCTGTAAACCCAGCACTTTGGGAGGCCAAGGCGGGCGGATCATGAGAACCGTGAGGAGAGATTTTACCCTACTTGCAAGCTAACAAATGAGTCTGCCAGTTTGTTTCATCGTTGCGGCAGAAGACTCCTGGGTCAAAGCAAAGGACTGTATTACTTACAGCATAGCAAACAATATGAGCATCAGCATATTTGCATCAATTCCCTTGCCTCCAAGTCCTCTGGGGGAATATGGATGGGCACAGATGGATGTGTGCACACGCAGTGGGTTACATGACAAGTGAGGAGCCCTGAGCTTAGGGAATTCAAAGTTTTCTACAGGCAGCAGGCATTGCTTGCCCTTTGGCAACACTGCTGAAATAAATCTCTTATAGTTCAAGATGTATTGATAAGCATGTTAAGCTTATTTTTATACATGAAGAACAACAAATTGTTATTTTCTATGGTTATTCACAGTATCTCAAAATCTATGTGATATTTTACTAGCTTAGTTTTATTATAATTTTAAAAGACCATTTGGGTTCCTTTGTTAGTGGACAAGAATAAAAAGAGATAAATTAGTTACTTTCTTAAAGCTAAGCAACATCATTTTCTATTGAGGAACCCAAAACTTTCCTAACTTTTACAAATGTTTGTAAATTGTAGGTTCTGTGACAGCCTGTGCTATAAAATTTCATAAGCTTATAAGAGCTTTCTTAACACAGCTGTGGACTTTTCTCCTGGTGTTGTACAGCAGTTCAAATTAGCTCAAGAATCATAAACCCTATATTTGAACAGCTATATAATATTATATATTTATTTTCCCATTTGATGTTGCATTACTTTTTCTACCAACCTTCTTACAATAAATTCATAAATATCTTAATTATAGCAAATGTGAAGTTCTTAAAGATGAGAATCATCAAACATATTTCTATTACAGAGATATATTCTTCAAAAAGTCATCTAAAATAGAAACCCAACTGGGAGACACCTTAAAAGTTTATCTGCCACAACAGAAGCTTTGCTTAAAATACTGTTCTCTTTGTATTTGTGTTAATAATTGATTTGTCTTTGAAATTAAATTAGGAATCTACTATATCTAGTGGTCTTGAAATCAAAGCCCCCTCCCCATTCCTTATCTTCACTGCTGTGTTCAAAAAGACTAGACTCCAGGGACGTGTCCAAAGCTGGGTTAAATATAGGATGTCTGAGAGACACCCTTCTTTCATAGTTCGAGGGTAAGCATGTAGCTGTATGTGCATGGAGGGGCGGGTGGAGGAGGTTAGCTGTATCAGGGTAGGCATAATACTATATTTTAAATCCCTCCTTCTGTTATAAATGTAAGCTGAAAATAGTCTCTGCTCCCAGCGGCAGCAATCGTAAACTCGCTTAGTTCTGCCTGTAATTTAATTTAACATGTGACATTGAGACAATCTTTCTTTTAATTCACATATAACTTCTTCCTCACCCACATTCCAGCCAAATAAACACATACTTGTAGAAAAATGTGACTGTTTTCCTGGGCATCCCAACAATTCAACTGTCCCTAAAACACCAGGTTCAATTTAAACTCTATTAGCTTGTCTGAGGGCTAAGATATCTAAAAATCCAAGACAAATTATCATTTGCATATATGGAGGCAGCTCTGATTGAACAGATATCTAAAACGGTTAGGTAATATTTTAGATCAAATCACTCCATCAAGTCAAAGACTAATTCAACTGTTTGTTCAGTTTCCAAAGGAATCCTTCCATTTTGGTCTAGTGTTCCATAAACATTGACTTTACATGAAAAGGACAGTGAAGAGATCTCTTGAACCGGCCAGAAAGTTGAAGCTCAAGGTTGTAGAAGATTTGAGCTACCAAGTCCAAGCCTTCTAAAAGATTCCCAATATGTATATATATATCATTTTCTTAACTCTACATTTGCCTGAGAAACAATGACATTCAATAAACTTTTTTCCATGGGATTTAGTTACAAAATAAGTCAAGGAACTACAAGTTATATATTTCCTGGAAAAATATACTATTATACATATATATTATATATTCAAAACTCCATAAAGCATATAAAGTATAAGCATATACTGAGTTATAAGGCATAACTCAACATGTTATTTTAACCTAAAATTTTCTTAGGCCCTCAATTGCAAATGCTGTAATTGCCAATGGTTCATAAACACATCTGTGAATTAGAAGCAAGTAATATCCTCTGTTTTTATACTCTCAAAAAATGTGATTATACTTAATCAAAAGTAATTCAAACCACAGCCCAGGCAATACATACTAGACCATGTCTTCTTGGTAATTTAATTCTTAGCAATAATTTTAATTGCTGCCTTATTAAGTAGGTATGCTACTTAAATTACAATCCTGTAGTTACAAGGTTAAAACTATTTTAAAATCTCAAATGTTTTCAGATTTCAATCACTCTTCGTATTATTACAACAAAAATGTTCATTAACTGGAACACATGCAGTATCATTTTTTAGCCCCCACTTTATGATATTTTTTAATATTTATTACCAGAGTAGTCATTTCATTATAAAATTTTAACCAAGCTAAGCATATACTCCGTTTTTTAGAAAACTAGATTTACTGTAGTCGTGTTAAGGCTATCATAGTAAGCAATGAATTTCACACTTGTCTTTTATACAGTACCACAACACGTCAAGCAGATATATGAAATCCTTGACAAAAGACATTTAAAACAAACAATTCCATGCTTTATATGTCAAGTGGAAAAGGAATATTTTTTCTACAGTGACAGAGCAGACTTGACATGTGCACAATCATGTAAAACCAAGCGTTTGCAAATGCTCTTACAACGTGGAGCAACCGGGCCTAGGGACAAGCAACCTTTCAGCTAAGAGTCTCGTCAAAGGTGCGGAAGCCCATTACAGAAGACCAGATAACAGTCAGTCTGACGGGTTCATTCAGATATTCAAGCTTTAAAAAGTACTTCGAAGACTGATACAGATGTCCTAGGCAATAAACGTCCCAAAAAGAATGGGGAACAATCCCAGTGCCAATTACATCTTTGTCATTCAGAAATCCAGGCTAATTTGATTTAGAGACATACATAAACGAACTGTTATTTCTCATAATTGTTTTTTTTCAGCCTCTTTATTTTTAATCTACATCTCTTAGGTAAAATGCATCAATTTAACTACATTTACTTATTCTGAGTTTTTCTATTGGTCCATGTTTCCTTTAAACACAATTTTGAATGGTTTTTTAAAGTAACCATTTGATTTTGAAACCAATTTACAGAAAACATGGAAGAACTATGCTAATATGCTGTATCACCCCTGAATACTTCAATGTACATTTCCTACAACAAAGATGTTCTCCTATATAACCATAATATGATCATCACAGTCATCATGGATAAAGTTCCAATATTTAATCCCCAATCTTGTTCAAGTTTCACCAATTTCCAATCATGTCCTTTATAACATAAGCATTTAATGCAGAATAGTATTTAGTTGCCTTGTCTTCTTAGCCTCTGTCAATCATTCCAATGCCTCTTTCCTCACTCCACTCAACCTCTGACAACTTGCTATAGGTCACCACCAGTGCTGTCTCCTGTCTCTCCAGGTCCCCACCCTTGCTACACTGTGGATGCTTTCCTTACCCTGCTGGTTTCTGAATGCTCTGCCACGGTCCTGGGCCTCCCCACTACCCAGCATGGATGCCTAAGCTGAACTGAATGACCTTGGACTGAATTGTTCAAAAAGAGAAGGGGAGAGGAAGAGGAAGAAGAATGCCAAGTAATTTGATTTTTCTTTTTTCATGACCAAACCAATGTCTTGGAATTGATTATCATTTCCATGGGCTACTTATGCTCCGTACTGTTTGTGTAGAGTTTGGTGAAAATGAATAAAGGCAACTGAACTACATTTTTTGGGGTTTTTTTGTTATTTTTTTGAGACAGAGTGTCACTCTGTCACCCAGGCTGGAGTGCAGTGGCACGATCTCAGCTCACTGCCTCCTCACAGGCACCTGCCACCATGCCCTGAAATTTTTTCATATTTTTAGTAGAGACGGGGTTTCACCGTGTTGTCCAGGCTGGTTTCAAACTCCAGACCTCAAGTGATCCACCCACCTCACCCTCCCAAAGTGCTGGGATTACAGGTGTGAGCCACCGCGCCCGGCCTGAACTCCATTTTTTATAGAGTACCATTTGACACTAAAATTAAGAGTCTGTTACTCATCTGCAGAATCTCTCTTTAAATGGTATTACTAAAAGGTCCAAAATGAAACATCTGTAAAAATAATTATTCCTACACTCTGTGAGATCTCTTTCCTGACACATTTCACATCTAAGTGAGTTTCCTAACTAACCCACACACACTCTATAGTAGGCTTACCCGTCTTTCCCCAGGCTGGCTGGCGAACTTGCAAAACATAACCATTTAGGGGAAAAAATTGAGGCAATTAAAATTAAAAGTGTTTTAGGCTAAGTAATGAATAAATTAACCCACTGAAAAGTTACATCAAAGGCTATTCTCAGCATTTTACCAATTACAGGAATTTCTGCAAAATCTGCCCAGCCATTTGTTTGTGTATCCCTGGGATCAGTGCCCAGAGTTCAATCTTTCTCTTGATGCTTCCTGCTGTTTTCAGGGACTCAATGAGAGCAGTAAGTGACCTTTCACTCACTGCAAGTCTATGGGCACTGAAGTTAGGAAAATATTTCCCTTCATGCAGAATCTTCCTAACAAAGCTTTCCATGTATTTGTCGGGTCAAATAACATTCAGATAAACTGCACATAATCCCCACAATGCCAAATGTTTAGAGAGCTTTTTTTTTTTTTTTTTGAGACGGAGTTTTGTGTTTTGCTCTTGTTGCCCAGGCTGGAGTGTTATGGTGGGATCTCGGCTCACTGCAACCTCCATCTCCCAGGTTCAAGCGATTCTCCTGCCTCAGCCTCCCGAGCAGCTGGAATTACAGATGCCTGCCACCACGCCCGGCTAATTTTTGTATTTTTAGTAGAGACAGGGTTTCACCATGGTGGCCAAGCTGGTCTCGAACTCCTGACCTCAGGTGATCCACCCACCTCGGCCTCCCAAAGTGCTGGGATTACAGACGCGAGCCACTGTGCCCGGCCTATAGAGCTCTTCCCATGAAGAGCCATTTCATGCCATCATCAACAGGCTGCCTTCGTGGGTGGCCAACGTGCTTCTCGAAAACCAGCTGTGAATAACGTGAGCAACTCATGGTGTCTACATGAGAAGGAAACTTTTAGATGTCCTTATTGACTTTCTTCTTGGTATTGAAGGTGGTATAATTATTACAGTTACATAGTTTTATCTGGAAGAATTACTTGATCTAAAAGGTAATTTAAAATTAGTAAAATTTATTAGATATGAGGATACTAAGTTTCATCAACGAAAGAAGACTGAAAACACCCACAGTAGTAGTATTGAAATTTTACGTGTCACTCAGCAACTCGCGAGAGTCCCGTCTGGTGCTGAGTCCATTTGGAATATCTGTCCCTGCCCTCCCCTCCTCCAAAAAGAATGTTCACTATAAACGAGAAGAGCTTAATTTCTATGGGCTTTGTAATCCTTCCACTGGATTCCAAGCAAAATAACTATCAATACAACTAATCCTGAGAATAAAAAGTAATCACAACTATGCAACAAAAACAGGAAAGGTGGTGGCAGGGTCTCACTCAGATTTCATTGCTTTGCTTTTCTCCAGGAAGGTCTTTTTGAAGCCCTGTTTATTCAATAGTAAGAGTGACCTCTAGTGACTTTTTTTGTTGTTGTATTTTGCCAGTTGATTGGTCAATTACTCTAGCATGCCTTTCTATAAGTAACTCATTTATATGTTTATTTAAGCCAAACGGCAGTTTCCATTACAAGACCCAAGGATTTTGATTTAAGTAACAACGTTTTATTCACAAAGGCTTCTCACAAAAGCAGATTAAAGTTGAATCTGAAACACGGTACAGCATCTGACCAAAGGAATCCGGAGCTTGTTTTTTGGAAGGGCACACCAAGTGTAGGATTAACTGAGGCGCAACTGAATCATGATGCACAGTGAGTTCATGAACCCATGTGCGTGCCCTGTGTGTGAAGAACCAACCCACCCTTGAGCCCGCGGGCAGAACAGCACTGAGCTACGGCAAACTTTTCATGACAGTTTAGGAGAACTGCTGAAAGCTACCCTTGGTTATCCTGCAATAATCTAAATTTCCAAACATGGCCACTGGCGTTTATTGGAACTTATTTCGAAAGAGATTTTGGTAGGAGAGGGCTGAGGCTGACAGCGGGGAGATGCCACTGAAAGAAAAATAAAAGTGATTTGAGAAGGAAGAGGAAGACATTTTAAAAATTCTAATCTCATGGTTTGATTAATCAAGAAAGAAAGCTCTCTGATAGAGATTTACTCCAAGCCAAAAAAAAATGTGCAATGTTGTGTAAACATTTTTATGTGTGATAAAATATGGGTACATTATGTTTTGCTCATCGGTCTGGAATATCATCATTACATTAGAATCATAGCCCATTCTAGAAATAAAGGCTTCCTAGGTGTTTACCAAATTAAGGAAAATAAAAAACAGGGAACCTGATGGCAAATTAAATAATGTAAAATATTAGCATCCAGAGAGGAATCATTTTCAAGATTACCTAAATGACTGGCTGAGTTTTGTCTTTAAGCAAGAACTTTCTACTATGAGAAACGAAGCCCCTGACAGGGGTGTTCAAGTGTTATTCCCTTAGTAGTTAGGGCAGGTTATTAATTTAGTTTCGCCTACAGGCGCTCTGTCCCTATACTGCATGGAAGTTAATTAGCATTTTAACTCTGAAGCTGCCAAGGTCGGCAAAACTGTAAGCTGCTAACATCTAAGTTGATGCAGTATGATGTAATGTCTGCCAGTTTTTTCCCTGTTAGACTTAATTCCTACAAAATATTACAATCCTAAAAAGGAATAAATGACAGCATTTGCAGGCTAATCTCTTATTAAGATGCTCTTTTCAGGTTTTACAGAAACGTCCACTTTCTCAATGAATATTCAAGTACATCGATTAAAAATTCAAAACATGCATGGTATATCTTAGACTCCCCCACAAGAGGAAAGTCTATTGTAAACAAAATCGTCTTTTTCGGGTTGCAATTCCAAATATTTTTTTAAGGTACTTCATGTTCAGGAGCATGTTCTGCAATTCCACTTCCAAATATTACCGATAATAAAAAAAAAAAAAAAAAACAAAGTTTTCCAGACAGCCTAGCGCAAGTTTTAAACCATTTGCTGTACTTATGTGGATTTCCTGCTCCCAAGGGGCTCCAAGTCTGAGTGGGGAGAAGCAGCAGCACCTTGAGGACGGCCCAGGCCACTGAAGCCATGCTCACTTCAGCCAGGCGCCCTGAGACCCGGGCACGGCGACGGCTGCTCTGCGTCGCTCCTGCTCTCACTCCCGTCCCCTGCGCGGCTCTGACGCTGCTCTGTCTCCCCTGTCCAGTCTCTAGCTCTCTTCCTCACGCACTAGCAGCCTCCCTCGGCGCTGCAGACCCTCCCGCCAAGCCGCGCCCGGCCCCAGCTGCGTCTCCGAGGTCGGCCCCGCGGACTCGCACCGCAGCTTTCTGGAGCGCTCGGGGCCGCGCGGCGCCGCCCCAGGCACGGAGGCGGCAGGTTCAGGCGCGTCCCGGACACTAGGCGCGGGAGGCGGCCGGCAGCAACGCGAGTCAAGAAGCGAGCGGGAGGGACGCCCCAGCTCCGCCTGGCGCTCTCCTCCCGTTATACCGGCAGCTTCCTCCGTCCCTCTCTCCCACCGGGGCGGGGCGGCCGTGGTGCACGGACTCGCTCCGAAGACCGCGCCGTCAGCCTCCGCCTGCAGGTGGAGAACGCCAGGCTTTATCACTCCGCTGTTCACCCAACGCAGGGGCTGCACCCAGGAAAATCCTGTCCTGTTTGAGTTCAAATAGGGAAGATGGGGCAGAAATAACTCTGCGGCGTGTACTCGGGCAGACGCGCGCACACTTTGATTTTGCTAGGAATTCTGACTTGTAGAGAACCAAGCTGGGAAACCGGGCCAGGAGCAGGGAGAGGCCGGTGAGCCTGGGTTGTGCGAGTGCAAGCCTTTATTTAAAGTTTTAATATTTTGTCTATCATGGGTTTTTTTTTTCTTTGCGATTACATTCAATTTTAAAACTATTTCATTCATTCAGGATTAGCGTTACTTAACAGTTGCTCCTGAGACTAGTGCGTTAGTCCCTTCACCCTAGTCCTGGCCTTGGTGGATGTCTAAAATTTACGTTTTATTCCAGCTTTCTGTCCAAAAGAGCAACCCCTGCAAGTGTAGGATGAGGAGCTCAGTCCAGCAGCAGCTAACACTGCACTCCTTGCGCGCCTGCTGTGTGCTAGAGGGAGGGGCGGAGGCAGGGGGCGGGGGGGTCTTTCTCTTTTTCTCTTCCTCTGCTTCTCAAATTCACAGTAGGGGCAAAGATTGACAAACTCACTCACATTACCACCACCGCGAGTTTCCAAAAAAGAAAAAAGAAAGAAAGATACTAACTTTTTTAGATGGTATCTCTAAGAAATAGTGTATTAATCTTCCCTTTGGAAAGACAACTTTGAAAGGCTTTTTCATTAAAATGAATTCAAATGTAATAGATGTAAAATGTAAAATGTAAAATGAATTCAAATGTAATAGATGAAGAATCTTACAAAGTCATTCTTGAATTATTAATTGGGTTCACTTAAACTACTTTTGCACAAGAACTCTGTAAATAGCACGTCTTTTATTACAGAAAAAATTATAAATCTTATAAATCTAAAGTTTTGATTGACAGATCAGTTGCCTTCAGTGAGACAGAAAGAGAGAAAATGGAAATCATCTTCTAAATTGGACCTAGAGTAAAACAACAAATGTCAATCTATTATTATACCAATTTGTCAGGCATCAGATGGAGTCTTTAAAAATGTGAACTTGGCCGGGTGCGGTGGCTCATGCCTGTAATCTCAGCACTTTGGGAGGCCGAGGAGGCCAAGAGGTCAGGAGATGGAGCCCATCCTGGCCAACACGGTGAAACCCTGTCTCTATTAAAATACAAAAAATTAACCGGGCGTGGTGGTGCCTGCCTGTAGTCCCAGCTACTCGGGAGGCTGAGGCAGGAGAATCTCTTGAACCCGGGAGGCAGAGGTTGCAGCAAGCCAACATTGCGCCCTGCACTCCAGCTTGGCGACAGAGCCAGACTCCGTCTCAAGACAAAAAAAAAAAAAGTGAACTTGGGTGTTCAAAGTGTTAGGCTTAATGGAGAAAAGCCAAGAAACTTCTACGGTGGTAGACATTTGCAATTAAAACAAAATGGCTTCATTAAACTGTAAAATCACTAGCGTAGTGAGGGTGCATGCATTTTTTACAACATTGGAGGAATATATTTATGAATATTATTCCCAATACATAAAATATACATTTTACACACTTATAGGTACACTCAAAATTTGTTCCAAATTGTTCATGTCTAGTAAACGTATATACACTATTTTATATGGTTAAGCCAATAAGCATCAGCATTTTCTTCTAAGACAGGAGGCTTGTAATTGTTTTGATTCCCCTGCTTTTGACTTAAAACTTATTTAGGTTTATTCTACTTAAGTTGTTTGGTTAGGGGACTTGAAGTCCTTAGACATAAATGTGTGTCTTGAAATGCATTTTATGTGGCTATAATTGCTGCTATATGGTTATTATTTAAATCAGCATAGACACTTGCTGTGGTGATAATGCTGGCAATGAACTTTGCAGACTAAGAGTAGTGAGGCTCTAAAAATTACTTTGCCTAGTAGAGAAGCATCCGTCACAATCATCACACACTACACACTTACTGAACAAATGAAGGCATGAATTCGAGATGGCCGATGTAACTAGAACACTGGATGTCCCAGAAAAAATATCGAATATCACAAATATAAATGTTTTATGGGTTGCTGCTTTATTTCCTTTCTTCCCTACTTTCCATGATAATGCAATTTAAACTTTGAAACTTCTTACCTTCTATTTAACCTTAACATGGATAATAAATACAATTATATTTTTTATTTCAATCTGGATAATGGTTGTATGATTCAACCAGAATAAGAAAGGAATAAGATCTACTTTGCAGTAGCACATATTTAGGAAGTGAGTATATTTATATTGGAACAAATGATGATACTGAGGTGTGTTTGATGACTAGCTTCTGGATTATAAGAATGTAAATGTTTGTTAAGACAGACTCTTTTGAAATTTGTTCTTGAATATTTTGAATTACAAAAGGAACATTTTTAAAAGAATTGTATAAAGAAAATGTTAATAATTGCCACTACCATCACCCCAACCCCACTGAGGTAACCAATGATACATAACAGGCTGACAGGCTGGTATGTATCCTTATGTATCCTTGTTTTGGCTCTTCTTCTTCTTCTTTTTTTTTTTTTTGAGACAGAGTCTCGCTCTGTCGCCTAGACTGGAGTGCAGTAGTGGTGTGATCTTCGCTCACTGCAACCTCTGCCTCCCAGGTTCAAGCAATTCTTGTGCCTCAGCCTCCTGAGAAGCTGGGAGAACAAGTGAGTGCCACCACACCCGGCTAAGTTTTTGTATTTTTGGTAGGGACAAGGTTTTTCCATGTTGCCCAGGCTGGTCTCGAACTTCCTGAGCTCAAGTGATCCACCCGCCTTGGCCTCCCAAAGTCTTGAGATTACAGGCGTGAGCCATCACACCCGGCCTTGGCTCTTATATATAAACACATACAACCTGTACATAGAGTTGTGCTTATTTTGTTTCAATAAGGTTTTACCTTGTACTTTATACTCTCATCCTGCAATTTTATCGTCTCTCTTTGTAGTATACCGTGTGCATTGCAGTCTAAGCTAGAACTTAGTTTTCAGTTCTAGAAAATAGAGTGAGAATACAAAAATATAACATTTGCCTGCCAATCTAATAGCATTTTAATTCCTAAATAGATCTACTTTCACAAATATGCTACTTCTCAAAGAATTATTTTTCTTATGATATTTTTCTAAGCAATGCAATGTGATATTAGTCAGATTTTTAAAATGCACTACTGCATTAGTCAAGGCCCAGAAAGAAAGCATGATTTGCTCAGATAGTTTAAAGGAACAGGCTGTAAAGAAAAGTGAAGGGACCCACCAGGTGACGTTGTGGCAACCAAAGACAAGCACTAGCAGAAAGCCTTTACTACCTACAGCAGAGGCGCAGAGGGAGGAACGGTTGCTGCCAGATCCCCAGAAGGCAGCAGCCGGGGAACACAAAGGTCTGGCAGGAGCCACAGTCATAGAAGTAAAAGAATTTCTTGTCAGAACCTGGAAACAGGAGTGAGTAGGGAAGAAACTTTTTGAGCTCTGACTTCTGAAACCTTACTGTTTCTGTGGGTGTCTCTCATTAGCCAAAACCAACTGGAAGTCAGCTGGGAGGGGAGCAGGGTGACACTCGGGCAGGAAGGGTGACACTCGGGCAGGAAGGGTGACACTGGGGCTGGAAGGGTAGAGGGTGGTTCTGAGGACCTCCACAAAGAATGGCCAGCACATCCTAGAACACTGACACTTACCAAATTTTAAAAAAAAAGTTTATTTTTGTTTTGTGCATTCATGTTCTTTAATGAATGATTTATCAAGTAATGGCTTGGAATAGAAATCTAAAGCTTTCATTTTTTAAATTATGAACCGAAGTAATCGTACTTGCTAGAAATTAAACCAGAGCTTTGAGATCAAACAGTTTACTCTTTCTTCTGTTTATATTAACAGGGAAGATTAATTGTGCCGAATATCGTAGTTTTGAATGGAGCTTTTTATTAACTTCAACATCAGGAAATCACCAGAGTCCACCTACCTTTCCTTATTTTTCACAGAAATAGAAAGATTGATGTTCTCATAGAGCAAAAAAGATGAGGTCTCACTTCTTGTGGCCTTCTGACATCCATCAATATTTTAGGAAAACAATTCTCACATTTCAGGGCCAATTGAGAATTAAGTTGAGCTCAAATACAAAGGGAAATATTTTTTATTAAAACTTTTTTTGTGTGAAATGAATTATAAATTTTATAAATTTTTTTGTGAAATGAATCAGCTAGCCTAAAATTTAATCCTTCCAAACTACAGTAGGTTAAAAAAAACAAGTGAATGGTAAACAATTTGAAATTTTCTTTCCAGTTTCTTATCACTGGCTAATTGGGAAGAATTGAAAAGTCAGAAGAGGAGAAAATTATAATCAATGCCTACTCCATTAAAAAATTGCTTAACTGTTTTATTGAAATTGATTCTATAGAGAGCCCCTGATTGCATATTTGATAAGGAACATTAATGCTAATACATGAAATACCCTATGTGCTCACGTATGAAAGAAACATTCTTGGCTGGGTGCGGTGGCTCATGCCTGTAATCCCAGAACTTTGGGAGGCCGAGGTGGGCAGATCACAAGGTCGGGAAATCGAGACCATCCTGGTTAACATGGTGAAACCTCATCTCCACTAAAAATACAAAAAATTAGCCGGATATAGTAGTGAGTGCCTGTAGTCCCAGCTACTTGGGAGGCTGAGGCAGGAGAATCGCTTGAACCCCGGAGGCGGAGCTTGTAGTGAGCCGAGATCACGCCACTGCACTCCAGCCTGGGTGAAAGAGCAAGACTCTGTCTCAAAAAAAAAAAAAAAAAAAAGAAAGAAACAAAGAAAGCATTCTCCCAAATATTTTCGTTTATATAAAAAGATAAGTCTCACCCTAAATCTATGTTAAACTTATAGAAAGAACACGTAGTCACAGTTAGAATGTGATTTTAGGGGCTAGGAAATCAACCCCAGACTTCAGCAAATCAATGTTCTACCATTGAAGTGTGCTAATATTTAGTATGAAACCGCTTACGGATTTCAGATCTTTTCCTGAAAGCAAACTTTAATATAGCAGAAGTCATCTGGATTTGGGCTGGAGATGGGGAGAATGAGAGGAGGCAAGTACTATAAGGGGTGGAGTGTAGGGGTAGGAGAGAGTAAAGAAAGGCATTAATTAAATGTCAGAAGTGAATTTATTCATTTTGTAGTTTTATCTAAACTGAAAACTGATCCTTGCTTGAATGGCTTGATAGAGAATGCGTCTCTCATGGGGCAAGGATAAAGCTATAATTATAAAACTTCAAGCTTAAAATAATGGGACTCAATGTTTGGGGCATCTTTTTAACTCAGCTAATCTAAGGATATGAGAAAATACTGTTCCTATTTACGGAGCAAAAATTGGTAGATACGTGTTTGGGAGAATTTTTGATTTGCCAGCATTTGTGTTTCAGAACACTAAACAGCCTCTTGGCAAGCCTGAATTTCTGAATATAATGAAGCAGAGACTGTTTTGTCTTGAGTAGATCCAGTTCGTGAAGGCTCAGGGGAACAGCATGCTTCATGCCTGCCAGCAGATGAGCTTCGAAGTGCCTTAAGGAAGCACTTTGACCAGAAGGTAGATAACTCTTATTATAGAAGAAGAAGGAGTGTGTAATTCATCTCCTACCGGTAAGAATAGTTATTGCTTTTGCAAACACTGTAAATGTGCAATCTAGAAGCTAGAAATAAGTACGCAGTTAGAAGGCAGTCTTTTTTTTCATATGTAGTGAAACTACTACACTTTCTGCAGTGGCAAATCTTAGCAGAGATTGTAAATCTAAGCAGAGAGGTATCCAGGATTGTGGTAGTCTACACTGAGTATGCCTACATGATGGTAGAGAAAAAAAAAATGAAGATTACATGCAGGATAGCTCCCTAAGAATATCAGATAAGAACTTCTGCAGAACAACTTGTTATGCACCTTCTGGTCCAAATTTTCAAAGAAACTGCTGCCGGGTATAAGGATACAAAAAAAGAGAGAGAGAAAGGGAGAAAACAAACAAACAAAAATGACCCTGAAGTGATAACATATTTGGCTGCACTTGTTATTTAGGAAAGTCTGTGACTCAGAAATGAGATGGTCTGGAGGGAGACTTTAGAAACAATAGCAAGACACGAAAGTTCTCTCGAAACCTTGGATCCCATTTTTCATAATAAACAGAATTATGTCTTTTTTGATTAGCTTGTGAAAATTATCTGAGAATAATTTATGAGAAGTTCCCACTGCTATAATATACTGAGTTCAATAAATTATTCATATTTTATTTTCATTAATTAAAATAAACCCAAATCCTATTAAGAACTTTTTCAAAGACTGATAACCATGACTACAAAATGCTTTGTTGTCACATTTCTTTTCATGCCATAAATTAAATAGACTTTTCTTTGTCTCTAAAGGCTATTTAAACATATTATGTTTCCCAGGAAAGGCTGCAGTTAAATGTTGGCATTTTGTCCTTATGTTCCTATAGTTTCCTGTTGTAGCAGTGTAGAATGAAGTTATGCCAGAATAATTTCCACATAAATATTGAATAAAGTGGACTTTTCATGGTTCAAAGAGTTTTGTGCCAATATGTTTCTTTTCTTAAGTGTTCAATGTAAATTTATGAAATTGTAATATTCTCTCATAAACACCTAAGTGTAGTTGCCATTAAATACAGATTCACATTCATGTTAGAACTGCTATTTTTTTGTTTCATATGATTTGTTCTTTATTTTTTTTTTTTTGAGAAGGAGGCTTGCTTTGTCACCCAGGCTGGAGTGCAGTGGCGCCATCTGGGCTCATTGCAAGCTCTGCCTCCCGGGTTCAGGCCATTCTCCTGCCTCAGCCTGCCGAGTAGCTGGGACTACGGGCGCCCGCCACCACGCCCGGCTAAGAGAGTGTGTGTGTGTGTGTGTGTGTGTGTGTGTGTGAGAGAGAGACTACAGGCGCCCGCCACCACGCCCGGCTGAGAGTGTGTGTGTGTGTGTGTGTGTGTGTGTGTGTGTGTGTGTATTTTTTTTTTGAGACGGAGTCTCGCTCTGTCATCCAGGCTGGAGTGCAGTGGTGCGATCTCAGCTCACTGCAAGCTCCGCCTCCCGGGTTCACGCCATTCTCCTGCCTCAGCGTCCAGAGTAGCTGGGACTACAAGCGCCCACCACCGCGCCCGGCCAATTTTTTTTTATTTTTAGTAGAGACGGGGTTTCACCGTAGCCAGGATGCTCTCGATCTCCTGACCTCGTGATCCGCCCACCTCGGCCTCCCAAAGTGTTGGGATTACAGGCGTGAGCCTCCACACCCCGCCGGCAAATAAATTTTAAAGCCCTACATTCTTGGGCAAATTTTACCCTTAAACAAAAATTCAGCCAATTGTACTAATCCAATAAAGAGCCATTTTAGGGAGCCTAAAGTTTTTTTATGAAAGCTCTAGTTGAATCACATATCAAAGTACTGGTCTATTAAGTTTCTTTTTTTCAGATATAAGTTAATTTTGATGTATTTTATTTGCTCTTTAAAAAATCACACTTTTGAGGCTGCGTGCAGTGGCTCATGCCTGTAATGCTGGCATTTTGGGAAGCCAAGGCAGGCGGATCACTTGAGGTTAGGAGTTCGAGACCAGACTGGCCAACATGGTGAAACCCCTTCTCCACAAAAAATACAAAAATTAGCCAGGCGTGTTGGTGCATGCCTGTAATCCCAGCTCCTTGGGAGGCTAGGGCATGAGAATCACTTGAACCCAGGAAGCAGGGGTTGCAGTGAGCCGAGATCGCACCACTGCACTCCAGCCTGGGCAGCAGAGTGAGACTTTCTCAAAAACAAACAAACAAAAAGTCACCATTTTGAATGCTTAGACACTACTGGTGGACATGTAAATTAGTTCAGTCAGTGTCAAAAGCAGTTTGGTGATTTCTCAAAGAACTCAAAACAGAATTACTATTCTACCCAGTAATGAGAATGGTAGACCTAGGCATGTGTATGTTCATTGCAGCACTATTCACAATAGCAAAGACATGGGATCAAGCTAAATGCCCATCAATGGTAGACTGAATAAAGAAAATGTGGTGCATAGGCCCGGCGCGGTGGCTCACGCCTGTAATCCCAGCACTCTGGGAGGTGGAGGCCGGTGGATCACGAGGTCAGGAGATGGGGACCATCCTGGCTAACACGGTGAAACCCCGTCTCAATTTAAAATACAAAAAATTAGCCAGGCGTGGTGGTGGGCGCCTGTAGTCCCAGCTACTCGGAAGGCTGAGGCAGGAGAAGGGCGTGAACCCCAGAGGCGGAGTTTGCAGTGAGCCGAGATCGCACCACTGCACTCCAGCCCGGGTGA
Organism: Homo sapiens; assembly: GCF_000001405.40. Classification (NCBI taxonomy): domain Eukaryota; kingdom Metazoa; phylum Chordata; class Mammalia; order Primates; family Hominidae; genus Homo; species Homo sapiens. Next base: position 60,855,871 of record NC_000009.12, read on the forward strand.
CAGAGCAAGACTCCCGCTCGAAAAAAAAAAAAAGAAAGAAAGAAAATGTGGTGCATATACACCACAGAATATACTACACAACCATAAAAAAGAACGTGATCATGTCCTTTGCAGCAACATGGATGGAGCTGGAGGCCATTATACGAAGCAAACAAACACAGGAACAGGAAACCAAATGCCGCATGTTCTCACTTATGAGTGGGAGCAAAACACTGAGTACATATGGACACAAAGAAGGGAACAACAGGCACTGGGGCCTACTTGAGGGTAAAGGGAGGGAAGACGGTGACAACTGAGAAACTACCTATCTAGTACTGTGCTTATTACCTGGGTGGCAAAATAATGTGTACACCAAACCCCCATGATGTGTAATCTACCTAACAAATCAGCACATGTACCCCGAACCTAAAATAAAAGTTAAAAAATAATAACAATAATCACCCTTTAAACCTATCTTTCAACATTTAAAGTTTGCAAAGGCAAAGTTTTATTCACCTATGGAACATGTTTTACTAACTGAGCAACTCTGGGCAAGTACTCTCTTGGCCTCTTAAGTGGGGATAATAACAGGGCATGCCTCCAAATCTTCCTGTGAACATTAAGTGAATGGATACGTACTGGACACTCAGAAAAATGCTTGGGTTGTAGTGATATTTAAGTGCCATTATAATGGCAGCATTGTACGAACAGAAATTAAAAACTTCAAAGTACATGTGAAAAACTATTTTTAAAAAATCTAATCATTGTATGATATAACTAGAAATTTTATTTAAGTACTTAAAGTAAGAATATTTCTACTTAAAATTCTAGAAGCAGTGAAAAAAACATTAAAAAATGAAAATAAAGACATTTTTCAGACTTAGAAAACCTGAAATAATTCATCTCCAACATAGCCACTTTACAATAAATGTTAAAGAAAGTTTTTAGGCAGAAGAAAATTGAAAAACTGATACTAGATGGAAATATAAATGCATACAAAGGACTGTGGGACACTGGACATGGTAACTACATGAATAAAATTCTGGAATGTTTTTCTTATTATTTAAGTATTTTTAAAATATAATTGTCTAAGTAACAGTAATAACAATATAGCATGAGGTTTATAACACATGTAGAAGTCAAATTTATGGCAGTGATGGCACAATGCCTATGAGGAGAAAAATGGAAGTATGCTATTCAAAAATTTTATATGTGAAGTAATATACTATAACTTGAATATACACTGTGAAAAGTTAAAAATATATGCTACATACCCTAAACCAACCACTAAAATATGCCAACAAAGAGTAAAGGCTGATAAGCCAATCAAAGAGATAAGATGAAATTCTTAAAGAAATTCTCAATTATCCTTTAAAAAGGGCTAAAAAAGAGAAAAAGTAACAAAGCACAGAGGGAACAAATGAAAAACCATTTTAAGAAAATAAACTTAAATCTAACCATATTAATAATCACATTAGTATCAATTGCCCAAAAACTCTAATATTGACAGATTAGATTCAAAGAAAGCAAAAGCTAACAGTATTCTGCCTCCAAAAAAACATACTTTAAATGGAAAAACACAAGTAAAAAGACGAAAAAATATATAATAAACACTACCTCAAAGAAATCTGGAGTGACTATAGTAGTATCACACAAAGTAAATTTCAGTTGAATGGGTATTACTAGAGATAAAGTCATTTCAAAATAACAAAAGGGTCAGTTTGTCAAGAGAAATAAAAAACCTAAATGTTTATATAACAAGTCATGTACATTCAATATACATGAAGCAAAATATAAAGATTATAAGAAAAATAAACATTTTTCTTTCCACAATTACAGTTAGATTTTTGTTTGTTTGTTTGTTTTGAGACTGAGTTTCACTCTTGTTCCCCAGGCTGGAGTGCAATGGTGCAATCTCGCCTCACTGCAACCTCCGCCTCCCAGGTTCAAGCGATTCTCTTGCCTCAGCCTCCTGAGTAGCTGAGATTACAGGCACCCACCACCACGCCCAGCTAATTTTTTGTATTTTTGGTAGAGATGGGGTTTCACTATGTTGGCCGGGCTGGTCTTGAACTCCCGACCTCAGGTGATCCACCTACCTCAGCCACCCAAAGTGCTGGGATTACAGGCATGAGCCACCACGCCTGGCCTAGTCAGACATTTTTATACCCCTATATCAAAAACTTCTACAACAAGAAGACAAAAATTCAGTAAGAGTGTAAAAGATTTGACCAGCATTACCACTTGACCTAATTGACATGTATAGAAAATTTCAAATACCAACTGTCAGATACACATTTTTTTTAAATGTACACAGAATATTTACCTAGAAGAAAACATATGCTGGGGCATAAAATTAATCTCAGTGATGTCAGAAAAATGGCAGACTAGAAAACTTTAGAACTTTGTCCCCCATGGAAACATTAAAGAAAAAACTACAAATTGGTTAAACTGACATTTAAGAACTATGGAAAACAGCTCAAGGTTTACAGAAAACACATGAACATCCAAACAAAACGGAGCCACTTCCAAAGCAGTTGAAAATTGTGTGGCATTTTTACTTGGCTTTGCCACATCCCATCCCTGGAACTGCACAGAATGGTCTTAGGAAAGTGATAGCTGAGCTTCCAATTCCTTCCCTGGAACTGGAAGGGTAAACCAGACTTTATTTGAAATGTTCTAACCTGTCTGGGAGCTCCATGTTGGATTAGTCTCTGTTGTTTCTAACTCATAGGTCAGACAGCAAAGATCAGAACAGCTCAGATCTCAGGCTATGAAAACCAATGAGAGACAACAGACATAGCTCGTGAATGCTGCTGTGAGATGCATGATAGACCTGCAAATGCCTGGAGCATGAGATTACAGATAGAGGAATAAAATAGAATATTCTTGACTCTGAGAAGAAGCAGGGCTATGACCCCTAGGGAAATTAAGACATTTTCTAAAAGGCTGTATACACAAGGAAAAAATAAATAAAAGCACACACAGGCCCAGAGAAAATGAAGTCTGATAAAAGACCACAGAAGATGAAAGCCTTCAGACCAGGCTGATCTAAAGTCAAAGAACATGCCCTTCTAATTATTGAAGAGCTTTTCCTACACAGACTCAGTCTGCAAACATTGGGAGAGGAAATGCCTTTTTTTCTAAATGCCCCATTTTCCACAATAACAATAACAATAACAATAACAATAACAAATTACAAGGTGTTCAAAGAGACAAGAAAGCCATGGCCCAAGCAAAGAAGAAAATACAGCTGCAGAAACTGTCCCTGAAGAAACATTGACATTTGAAATACTAGACAAAGACTTTTAAACAACTATCTTATGCTCAAGGATCTAAAGAAAAACATAGACAAATAACTAAAAAGTGAAGAAAATAATATATGAACAAAAGGAGAATATCAACAAAGAGACAGAAATTATTTTAAAAGAACCAACAAGAAATTCTGGAGATGAAAAATATGGTAAGTGAATTGAAAAATTTATGAGACAGCTTTAACAGAAGACTTTAGCAGGCAGTGGAAAGAAGCAGCAAACAAAAAAAAAGATTATTTAAAAGTAGTGAGTCTAAGGACCAAAAAGGAAAAAAAAAAAAAAGAAGTGAATAGAGTCTAAGGTATTTAAGAGTCATCATTGAGTAGTCCAATTATTCATTACAGAAGTTCCAGAAACAGAAGAGAGAAAGAAGGAGGCAGTGATTTATATGACAACATAAGTGTCAGAGGCGTTCAAACCAGAGCGACTCCATTTTGAGTGAGGGCTAGGAAAATGAGGCAGAGACTTGCTGGACTGCATTCTCAGAAAATTAGGCATTTTCCTAGCTTCTAGATGTTTATGAATCAGTGAACAAATTAATGATGCTTACTAAAACAGACCCAGACTTGGGAGTGTCCAGATATCTCAATATCTGGAGAATAAGGGCATTCCTAATTTTGCATTAAAGATAATAATATTGATTCTTGCAAAATATGGTAATTAAGAAAATTAATCCTTTATCAAAAACTCTTGTAGGAGAGCACATCTCCCCATATATGCAACCATCGTACCTAGGATGGATGTGTTCTTCCTCTCACTTTCAGGAATGTCCTACTCTGTCTATGGAGTAGCTGTTCTTTCACCACTTGCTTTTACTTTGCACTGTGGACTCGCCCTGAATTCTTTATCGTGTAAGCTCTAAGAACCCTCTCTTGGGGTCTGTATCGGGACTCCTTTCTGGTAACATAAGGATCAAAAATTTCCCAAATTTTTAAGACATGTATATGCAAATCCAAGAATCTCAATGAACACCAAGTATGATAAAACAAAAGGAGTGTAGGCAGAGGAACAAAATTGTCAACTGGAAATTTTATAATTTGCAAAACTGTCCTTCAAACATGAGAGGAAAACCTTCTGGTTCTAAACCAGTATGTAAGGAGCTTGATAGTCATACTTTATCCTAACAACTAGTAAAAAGTTGAACAAACAAAAAACTCAACACCTCTTCTCAGATCTGTCATGGAAATGAGATCAGAGAGCAAACCAAGGACCCCCAAATTGGAGAGACAGACAGGCAGATACATAGAAGCAAAACTTAACTCATGCAGAAATGATGAGCAGAAATCTCCATAAGACCCAGTGCTGGGTTGGGCATAGTGGCTCACGCCTGTAATCCCAGCACTTTGGGAGGCCAAGGTGGGCAGATCACCTGAGGTCAGGAGTTCAAGACCAGCCTGGCCAACACGGTGAAACCCCATCTCTACTAAAAATACCAAAATTAGCTGGGCATGTTGGCGGGAACCTGTAATCCCAGCTATTCAAGAGGCTGAAGCAGGAGAATTGCTTAAAGCCGGGAGGTGGAGATTGCAGTGAGGCAAGATCATGTCATTGTACTCCAGCTTGTGCAACAGAGCAAAACTCCACCAAAGAAAAAACAAAAAACAAAAAAACACACACAAAAAAATCACCAGTGCTGAAGTAGAAAAACCTGAAACTGTAATTAACAAATTGCTGGAGCTCAATGTGAACAACTCTGAAAGTTAAAAACTTCAAGTGGGTACACTCATTGAAGGTCTCCATACTTTTGTGAATTATGCCTCCAGAAACTCTACTAGGTTCTCAGTGAATGTTGGAAAAAATGTCCTCATGCTTCTGGCAGGAGGAAGGGGAAAGGAACCATTTGGAAACATGCTGGAGTATTCAGTTCTTTTTCACAAGACCTGCACCAGGAGAAACTATTTTACTAGGGCCTAATCTGCTGGGGTTTTATCAGAGCCTACTATATGTGACAGAAGGAAAATACTCAACTGGCTGTAGCCTTCCACATGCACAAAAGGGAATAAATAACTCCATCTCCTTCTGGCCTTTCATGTGGGGGAAGAGAAACACTCAACTACAATCCCTTTTAGATTTCCACATGGAAAAAGGGAAATATACAACTTCGTCCTCCCTTCAGCCATTATGTCTCATCTAAAGTCGGGGAGGAACTGAGAAGCACTGATGAAGTTCACAGTCAAGGGGCACAGTCTCACCAAAAGACTGAGCCGTAATCATAGGACTATAGAATGCTCCCCTTCCCCTTACACTCTATCACTACATTACTAAAGGCCTATTTACTATAGCTGCTTTTACTTAGTACATTGTGTTCACTTTTCAACAAAAAAAAATTCCAAGATAGACTGAAATGCAAAGAAAAAAACGGTTTGAAAAGTATGAACAAGCATCATAAGCAGAGTCAAGTATGGCAGGAATGTTGGAATTATCAAAGCAGATATTTTAAATAATTGTGATTAATGTGCTAAGGACTCTAGTAAACAGACAACATGCAAGAACAGATGAATTATGTAAACAGAGAGATGGGGATACAAAGAAAAAAATCAAAAAAGAAGTGCTGGAGATCAAAGACATTGTAATAGACATAAAGAAGGGCTTTGATGGGCTCATTAATAGACTGGACATAGCCAGAAAAGAATCTTTGAGTTTGATGATATGATAATAGAAATTTCCAAAACTAAAGAGCAAGGAAAAAAATTACTCAGTAAAAACAGAATAGAATATCAAAGAACAGTAACAAAACTACAAAAGGAGTTAATATATATATTTGGAATTTTAAAAGGACAGGAAAGAGAGAAAAAAATGGAAGCAATATTTGAAACAATAATGACTGAAAATTCCTTCCAAACTAGTGTCAGACACCAAACCAGAGATCAAGAAAGCTCAGAGTACACCAAACAGGATACATGAAAAGAAAAATTACACCTAGGCATTTCATATTCAACTTCAGAAAATCAAAAATAAGAAAAAAAAAAGTCTTGAAAGAAGCCAGAGAGGAAAAATACCTTACATATAAAGGAGCAAAAATAAGAATTACTTCTTAAATTTTCTTAGAAACCATGCAAGCAAGAAGAGTGAGGTTGAGAGAAAAACCACCAGCCTAGATTTCTGCACCCTGTAAAATTATCCTTCAAAAGTAATAAGAACTAAAGTTCTTCTCAGACAAATAAAACCTGAAGGCATTGTTACTGGTAGACCTACCTTGCAAGAAATGTTAACGGAAGTTCAGAAAGAAAATGATGTAGGTCAGACACTCCAATCTACATAAATAAAAGAAGAGAGTCAATGAATTAATAAGTAAAAGTAAAGTAAAACATTCTTTTTTTGTTCTTAATTGATCAAAGACATAATAGTTTGTTCAAAATAATAACAGCAACAATATATGGTTATGTATGCATATATATATGCTTTTGTATACTTTTGTAGACATGAAGTGAGAGATAGCAATGATAAAAGGGAAAGGAAGGAAGAATTAGGAATATTGTGTTATTAATATATCTTCTACCTGTGAAGTGGTATAGTGTCATTTGAAAGTGTACTTGGATTAGTTGTAAAAATATACTGCGAACTCTAGGACTAATGTTTTAAAACTTTAAAAAAGTATAATTGATATGCTAAGGGAGGAGAGAAAATGAAATTATATAAAGTGCTCAATTAAAACACAAAAAGTAGAAAACTATGCGCGACAAAAATAACTAAGAGCAAGGACGGCAAAGAAAAATCATTAACACAGATGGTACATATTAATTGCTATATCAATAATCATCTTAACTGTCAATGGTCTAAAACACACCAATTAAAATACAGAGACTGTCATAGTAAATCAAAAAACAAGACCCAGCTGTCTACAAGAAGCTCATTTTAAATTTGAAGACTCATAGAGATAAAAATTAAGGGGATGGAAAAGATACTGAGGTAAATTATAAAGGGTGGTCATAGCCTCCCTTAAAGGAGAACAAACTTGCTAAATAGATGGAGAGAATAAACTACCCGACAGTGCACAAACCACATCATGGGCTCAGGGTTAGAACATCCTGCAGCAAGGAGGTAGAAAAATAGAAGGGAGAATTCACAAATTCACACAAGCACAGAAACCCATGATTAGTGTCCTTGGACTGACCTATATTCACTATAATAGTAAAAGAAAAACACCCCTGGGTGGAGATTTAAGATGCTAATGATACATGCAATGTTAAGTCCTAGCATGTACAACCACAGCACCTGTGCAGCCAGGGGACTACCCATAACATACTCATCAGAACACCCCTTCCCACCCCTCCATGAATAATCATGTAAATCTCCCATAAAGGGCGATCCCCCTGCATCAGACAGGGCTGTCTCACCTTTGAGCAGCCTGCTCTGATCAGCTGTCAGAGTGTACTTTTGCTTTGCAATAAACTCTTTTGCTTACTGTTACTTTGGACTCGTTCTCAAATTTTTTTGTGCAGCAAAGTCAAGAACCTGAAACAGTCCACTGGCAACAGTAGCATGCTAACAGTAATTCAAAGAAAGCAGGAGTAGCTCTATTAATGACACATCCCACTTCAGAACAAGAAGAATTATCAGAAATAAAGAGAGTAATTACATAATAAAAATGCTGTCAGTTCTCCAAGAAGACATAACAATCCTTAGTGTTTACACACCTAAAAACAGAGCATCACTATATGTTAGGCAAAAACTAATAGAACTTCAAGGAAAAATAGATGAATTTACTACTGTACTTTGAGACTCTAACATCTCTCTACTAGTAATTAGCAGATTAAGCAGGCAAAAAATTAGGGAAGACATATTATAATTCAAGTCAGCAGTGACATTAATCCAATTGACATGTGTAGAATAATTCACCCAACAGCAGAATACACATGCTTCTGAAGCTCCCATGGAATGTTCACAAAGACACATCACTATCTAGGCCATTAAAAAGCAACTTATTTAAAAGCATGTAAGTCATGCAAATTATGCTCTATGACTACAGTGAAATTAAGCTAGAAATCAAATTCAGAAAGATGACTGGAAAACATTAAAATACATGAAGGCGTAACATCACACTTCTAAATAAAAAATGGATCAAGGAAGTCTCAAGAGGAATTGTAAAATATTTTGAACTAAATGAAAATGAAAATACAACTTTAAATTTGAAGACCCATAGAGATAAAAATTAAGGGGATGGAAAAGCTACTGCGGTAAGTTATAGAGGGTGGTCATAGCTTTTCATTTTCGCTTACATCTCACGAAAGTGTGTGAAATGCAGTAAAACAATGCTTAGACCAAAATTATAGCATTGAATGTACATGTTGCATCCCAAGGAGGGTCTAAAATTAATAATCTAACTTTTCACCTTAGGAAGCTAGTAAAGGAAGAACAAATTAGACTCAAAATAAGGAGAAGAAAAATATAAAAATCAATAAACTTGAAGACAGAAAAATCAATAGAAAAAAATCAACAAATAAAAATCTGATTCTTTGAAAAGATAAATAAAATTGGTAAATCTCTATCCAGAGTAAGAGAGAAAAAGAATACAAATTATTAATATCAACATTTAAAGAAGAACCACCTCTATAGATACTATGGACATTAAAACATTTAAAAAAATAAAGAAATATTATTAACAACTTCATAAGTTTGATAACCGACATAAAATGCAGCACTTCTTTGAAATATACAATCTACTAAAATTCACACCAGGAGAAAAAGACAATCTGAGTTGTCCTATATCTATCAAAGGAACTGAATCAATAATTAATAAGCTGATAAAATAGAAAGTACCAAGCCCCAGAGAGTTCTCTGGTAAATTCTAACACTTAAAAGAAAAATTATAACAATTCTCCAGAATATTTTCCAAAAAACAGAAGCATACAGAATGCTTCCCTAGTTATTCTATGAGGTCATTATTACCATACACCAAAACCAAAGACATTACAAGAAAGAAAAAACAAAGAGCACTATCTTTCATTAAGCAAAAATCCTGAACAAAGTATTAGCAAATTGGATCCAATAATGTGTAAAAAGATGATGAAGTGGACCTTATCCTAATTATGAAAGGCTAGTTCAACAATTGAAAATAAACTGATATATTTCATCACATTAACAAGAAAAAGAAAAAAAAACAAGATCACATCACCAGATGCAGAAAAACATTTGACAAAATCCAACATCCATTAACGATAACTCTCGGCAAATTAGGAATAGAGGGAAACTTCCTCAAAGTGACAATGTCTATAGGAAACCTACAGCTAACATCATATTCCCTGGTAAGAAGTTAGATGCTTTCCTGGTAAGATGAAAAACAAGGCAAGAATGCCTGCTCTCACCTTACTCAACATCATACTGAGGGTCCTAGCTAATGCAATAAAACGTGAAACACACATAAAAGTTAAACAGATTTGGAAGAAAGAAATAAGACTCCGCTCACAGATGGCATGACTGTTTATGTAAAAAATCCCCCCAAAATCAACCAAAACATTTGTGGAACTAACATGTGGTTATAGTAAGGTTGTAGAATATAATGTTAATGTACAAAAGTCAATTGATTTCTGATATACCAGCAATGGGCAATTGGAATTTGAAATTAAAAGCATAATACCATTTACTTTAGCATTGAAAAGAGAAATGTTTAGGCATAAATTGAATAAAATACGTACCAGGTTTATATGAGAAAACTACAAACTCTGGTGAAAGAAATCAAAGATCTAAATAAATGGAGTATAAATAGAATAAAATATGTACAAAGTTTATATGAGAAAAAACTACAAACTGATGAAAGAAATCAAAGAAGATCTAAATAAATGGAGAGATATTCTATGTACATGGATAAGAAGACTCAATATTGTCATAATGTCATTTCTTCAAAACTTGATCTGTAGATTTAATGGAACCCCAATCAAAATTCCAGCAAATTATTAAGTGGATATCCACAAACTGGTTCAAAAGTTTATATGAAATGACAAAAGATCCAGAACAGCCAACATAATATTGAAGGAGAAGAACGAAGTTCGAGGTCTAACGAACTAATTTCTGTATGATTCCAACTACATGGCATTCTGGAAAATGAAAAATTACAGACACAGTAAATAGCTCAGTGATTGCCAGGAGTTTGAGGGAAAGGGGACTAGGGGTAAATTGAACACAAGAGATTTTCAGAATAGTAACACTGTTATGTATGACACAGTAATTTTGGATACATGCCATTATATATTTGTCCAAACCCATGGAACGTCAATCACAAAGAGTGAAGCCTAATATAAACTATGGGCTTTAGTAACTAATGGTGTATCAATACTGGGTCATGGATTCTAACAAATGTGCCACACTCATGTAAGATGCTAAAAATAGGAGAAACTGCAGGGAGGTATACGGGAACTGTTTTTTTCTTTCATCTTTTTTTCTGTAAACCTAAAACTTAGTAAAAACTGAAGCATCTTATTTTTTAAAATTATCTAAATACATTAATAAAAAGTGAGAGATTAGCAAAGTAGATTTCAAAATATCCTAATCATAAGCTGTTTATAAGAAACCTACTTTACATTTAATAAAATAGGTAAATTGAAATTAAATGCATGAAAAAGACATAATATGCAAATATTAACAAAATAATGCAGGAATGGCTATATTAATATCTGATGGAGAGACTTCAGAGTAAGGAAAATTACTAAAGACAAAGAAAGATATTACATATTTTTAAAAGCCAAGCTACTATGAAGACACAATGATCCTAAATGTATATAAACCAACAGAATTTTAAAATACATGGAGCAAAATCAGAGAATACTGAAAGAAGAAATAGACAAATCTACAATTATAGTTGGGGATTCCAACCTTCTCACTAGCTGACAGAATTACTAGTCAGAAAATTCGCATAGATATAGAAAAATATGAACTACACAGTTCACCAACAGGATCCAATTGATATTCATATATAGATTTATCACATAAAGGAAACTCCAATAAGATTAAAAACTAATTGCTCATCATAAGTAATAGAAGGCAGAAGAAAGTGGAATGACATATTAAAAGTGATTAAAGAAAATAAGAGACCAAGAATCTTATATCTAGCAAAACTATATGCTAAGACTTAAGATTAAATAGACATTTTCTGGCTGGGCGTGGTGGCTCACTCCGGTAATCCCAGCACTTTGGGAGGCAGAGGTGGGTGGATCACAAGGTCAGGAGATCGAGACCATCCTAGCTAACATGGTGAAACCCCGTCTCTACTAAAAATAGAAAAAATTAGCCAGGCGTGGTGGCGGGTGCCTGTAGTCCCAGCTACTCGGGAGGCTGAGGCAGGAGAATGGCGTGAACCTGGGAGGCGGAGCTTGAAGTGAGCCAAGATCGCACCACTGCACTCCAGCCTGGGCAACAGAGCAAGACTCTGTCTCGAAAAAAAAAAAAAAAAAATAGACATTTTCATATAAACAAAAATTGAGAAAATGTGTTGCTGGAAGATTTATCTTGATATTTATTAACACTAACAAAAGATTTCCAAGCTGATTCCTGATACGTGTTCAACCCCATATGAGAAAACAAAGAGGCTGGTAAATTGAATTATGTAGATAATTGTTAGAGTATAATTGGATATTTTGTCTTCTTTCCTTAAATGATTTAAAATGCAATTGCATAAAATGATATGTATATACACAGATTGTTGGATTCGTAACCTATGGAAATGTAATATATTTGACAATAATGGCACAAAGGATATGAGCAGAAGCAAATCTATATTGGACCAACCAAGAGGTTGACACCAGATGGTTTTTCAGGTGTACAAAAATAAAGAGAACCAGAAATGGCAGATAAGAAGATTAATATCACAAACTTTACAAATGTATACTTGCCCTCCTTTCTTCCTCAGCTTCTTTAAAAGATGCAAAAGTAAAAAGAACAAAGCTGGAGACATCATGCTACCTGACTTCAAAGTATACTATAAGGCTACAGTGACCAAAACAGCATGGTACTGGTACCAAAACAGAGATATAGACCAATGGAACAGAACAGAGGCCTCAGAAATAACACCACACATTTACAACCATCTGATCTTTGAGAAACTTGACAAAAACAAGCAATGCGGAAAGAATTGCCTATTTAATAAATGGTATTGGGAAAACTGGCTGGCCATACGCAGAAAACTGAAACTGGACCCCTTCCTTACACCTTATACAAAATTTAACTCACGATGGATTAAAGACTTAAACATAAGACCTAAAACCATAAAAACCCTAGAAGAAAATCTAGGCAATACCATCCAGGACATAGGCATGGGCAAGGACTTTATGACTAAAACACCAAAAGCAATGGCAACAAAAGCCAAAATAGACGAATGGGATCTGGTTAAACTAAAGAGCTTCTGCACAGCTAAAGAAACTATCATCAGAGTGAACAGGCAACCTACGGAATGGGAGAAAATTTTTACAATCTGTCCATCTGACAAAAGGCGAATATCTAGAATCTACAAAGAACTTAAACAAATTTACAAGAGACAAACAACCCCATCAAAATGTGGGCAAAGGATATGAACAGACACTTCTCAAAAGAGGACATTTATGCAGCCAACAAACATATGAAGAAAAGCTCATCATCGCTGGTCATTAGAGAAAGGCAAATCAAAACCACAATGAGATACTATCTCATACCAGTTATGTGATGCTTTTTTGTTTGTTTGTTTGTTTTTGTTTTTTTTTTTTTGTTTTTTTGAGACGGAGTCTCGCTGTTGCCCAGGCTGGAGTGCAGTGGCGCGATCTCGGCTCACTGCACACTCCGCCCCCCGGGGTTCACGCAATTCTCCTGCCTCAGCCTCCCGAGTAGCTGGGACTACAGGCGCCCGCCACCTCGCCCGGCTAATTTTTTTGTATTTTTAGTAGAGACGGGGTTTCACCGTGTTAGCCAGGATGGTCTTGATCTCCTGACCTTATGATCCGCCCGCCTCGGCCTCCCAAAGTGCTGGGATTACAGGCGTGAGCCACAGCGCCCGGCCATGTGATGCTTTTATAAAGCATGCTTTCTTGCGTGCCGCTATGATTGTAAGATGTGACTTTGCTCCTCCTTGCCTTACACCGTGATTGTGAGGCCTCTCTAGCCAGGTCAAACCTCTTTCGTTTATAAATTACCCAGTCGCAAGTATGTCTTTATTAGCACTGTGAGAACAGACTGATACATCAGAGATAAAGAAGGACATGCTGTAATGTTAAAGAGACAATATATCAAGAAGGTATAAAAATTATAAACCTATGTGCACTGAACGAAATTTTTCCAAAATCTACAAAGCAAAAATTAAAGGTAGAATTAAAGGTGAATTAAAGGTAGAATTCAACAATAATAGTTGGAGATGGTAATCGTAGCAGACATCAGTATCTCACTTTCGATAATCAGAAAAGCTAAATAGATGCTAGCAAGAATATGGAGGATTTGAGTAACAGTATAAACTAGCTAGATGACAGTACAGTACACCCAAAAGCAGAACATTACTCTCAAGTGCACATGGAACAGTTCCTAAAATAGATCACATGCTAGGCCAAAAACCAAACCTCAAAAAAAGTAGAAAATGATTGTTCTTTGATCAAAGTGGAATTAAATTAGAAATTAAAAACAGAAAGAACTTTGGGAAAAGCAGAACTTATAAAAATTAGCTACATACTTCTAAATAACCAATGAGTCAGAGATGAGATCATGATGAAAAATAAACAGAAGAAAGGATATAATAAACATTGAAATAGAAATTAAAGAAATAGAAAAAATGGTAGAGCAAATCAACAAAACCAAGAGTTGGGTCTTTAAAAAGATTAACAAAATTAACAAACTTTAGCTACACTTACAGGGAGAAAGAAAGATTCAACTTACTAAAATTAAGAATGAAAGAGGGACATTACTATTGACCTTATAGAAATAAAAAGAACTATTAAAGGTACTATGAAAAAAAGAATGTCAACATATTAGATAATGTTGACGAAATGATATCATTTCTAGAATAATATCTACCAATCATTTAAAGAAGAATTAGTGCCATTCTTCACAAGCTCTTAAAAAATTTTAATATTTATTACAGTATTACTTATAATAGCCAAAAAGTAAAAACAACCCCAATGTTAATTAACTGATGAATGGATAAATACAATATGGTGTATCATATATCGTATATATGATATCATGTTATTGACCAACAAAAGGAATGAAGTACTAACACATGCTGCAACCTGGGTGAAAATATTATATTCTTGTAAATATCATGCTGCATAAAAGAAACCAGAACCAAAGAGTGCATTTTGTATTATTCCGTTTATATAAAATCTCCCAAACAGGCAAGTTTAGACAGTGGTTGCCTAATGATGTAAGGTGGAGGAGGAATGGGAAGTGACTGCTAATGGGTACTGGGACTCTTTGAGGGTACCAAAAATGTTATAAAATGAAACTTTGGTGATGATTGAACAACTGAATGAATATATTAATATGTATGAAACATTTTAAGTGAGTAAATTACACAAAATTTAAATTATGGCTAAACAAAGCTGTTTTTAAAAAGTGTACCAGCAGCAGAAAATTAGTTATAAATTAATCAGGATTAAACAGTGCTCATCTTGATTAAGCTTATAATGGATGATGATTATTTTACTTGTTTTATTCTGTAGTAAACAGTTTGAGATTCAGTGATTAAACAAAGGACTACCTTTACACTCTACTTATTTTTTAAGTAAAAGAAAAACATTATTAAAAAGTGTATAAACTGGTTCATGTTTATGTTAACTATCTTACCCTTCCTTCTCTTTTACTTCCAATTACTTTGGTTATGTTTCGGGTTTTATTTGATATTGTCTATGGAATCTGTTAATCATTCTTTAAAGGAAAGAGGAAGTGGGTAGGGAATAAAGTATGGAGCCATCCAAAAACGAAAAGATCTGGGAAGATGCTGTGCTGATTTAATGTTAAGAAATGTTCAGAAAGTAAACCCTTGATGTCTTGGTTTTTATTTTAGAAATATTATCTTGTTGACAATATACTAAAGTGCATACAACTGATTTAAAATAAAAATAAGGTATATGAAAATATGTAAGATGCAGCTGAAGCAGAGGTGAGAGGAAAATTTTTATTACTAAATGTTTATATTAGAAGTGATAAAGTCCTCAACCAACTAAATTCCTACCTCAAACAACAAACAAAAACAAGAAATAAAAAGAGCAAAATAAGACCAAATCAAGAAGCAGCATATTCTGGTAGAACTTTCAAATTATCCTTTAAAAATAGTCATAAGTTCAGAATCTGGTGTACAAATTCTATATTATGTCTCCTTACCTTTGAAATGCGTTTTTTTTTTTTTTTTTTGAGAGACAATCTCGCTCTGTCGCCAGGCTGGAGTGCGATGGCACCATCTCGGCTCACGGCAACTTCCGCCTCCCGGGTTCAAGCAATTCTCCTGCCTCAGCCTACGGAGTAGCTGGGACTACTGGAACGCGCCACCACATCCAGCTAATTTTTGTATTTTTAGTAGAGACGGGGTTTCATCATGTTGGCCAGGATGGTCTCCATCTCCTGACCTCTTGATCCGCTCGCCTTGGCCTCCCAAAGTGCTGGGATTAAAGGCGTGAGCCACCGCGCCTGGCCTAAAATGCGTTTCTTTTCCTTGATATAAATGTATTATCTGTACTACTATGAATACTGAAATGCCATAATTGAGGCTTTTTTTTTTAACTTTGCAAATGGAATAAAGGAGAGAAGGAAGGATGAGAGTCTCCTGAGATATTTAGATAAATGTTAGAGAAAAGAAAAGATTCAAGTTGATATTCTGATAAACCTGATAAATCACATGGACAAATCTGACATTTATGCGAGTAAACGAAATGGAAAACAATATAACTGGGTGTAAAGAAAGAAGGAGATAAAAAAATACAAAGTTAAATAGTCCCTCATATTGGTCACAAGGCCAAATCAGCTGGCTCAGAATGTCATTTACTGCAGAAAGCCTCACTGAATTTCCTCCTTTAAGGAATGACTTTGTTCCTAGGAAATCTACACTAGTGTATAGAAATAAAGGGGCATACTGTCTGCATCTTGCTCTTAGATAATTCAGAAAAATGTGTGTGTATATCTATATCAATACCTATCTAGAATAAACAAGTGTGATGATATGTTAACAATTGATAAACCTGGGTAAAGGGTAGGTATATGGGAGTTCTTTGCATATTTTTTCAACTTTTATGCACATGCGAAATTATCTGCAAGTGAAAATATTTGTAAAAATTAAAAAACATACCATTTCAAAACAGGCTGTATTTATATAAGAAGTGCCCAATGTTTTTGCTTAATTTCTTTGTGGTAAGATTTTAGTCTTCCAGGAAAAGTTTCATATTGGTTATTATTGTGAAAAATAATGAAGTGGTCTGCTTCTAATTTTTCTAAGTTCCCTTTTGAATAACTAAGCATCTACACCAAATTAAAGATACTTCTCTATAATTTTTCAAAATTCAAAAAGGATGTCTCATAAAGTAAGAAAATAAACTGTGGTTTGTTCCTCCATTGTTGTTAATTTGCAATGTCCCACTTATCTCTGATGGGATATCAGTAAATTTACTTGCCTTATTGTACTTGTTCCTTGATGTATTTCTAATGATTAATTAGAAATAATTACACATTTGTCCACTTTGGAAAGTAATGGAGGTGAAGGGGGTGTGTGTGTGCACTTGTATGGACGCACACATGCATAGGTACACACACACGTATTGTGTTTTCTTGTTTTGTTTTGTGCTTTGATTTTTATTTTTAAATTGTAAATTGACAAATCATAGTTGTGTATATTTATGGAGTACAAAATGATGATATAATTTATGAATACAATTTGGAATAATTATATCAAGCTAATTAACATCCACCACCTCAAATACTTGTCATTTTTAATGGGGAATGCATTTGAAATTTACTCTCTTAGTGATTTTTAAAATGTAGAATTCTTTACTATGTACTATTTTCACCAAGTTTTGCAATATATCTCAAAGAAAAAAAACCCTTATTATTCCTTTTGTATAAATGAGGCTTTGTACCTTTTGTCCAATATCTATCCGTTCCACCCCGCACCTCCAGCCTCTGCTAATGACCATTCTGCTCTCTGCTTCTTTCAGTTTGATTGTTTTAGATTCCACATATAATTGAGAACATGAAGTTTTTGTCTTTTTTGGCTTCGCTTATTTCTTTTAGCATAACATTTTCCAATGTTGTTGCCAATGAAAAAATGATTTTTGTAAAGGCATGTAATTGTAACAGTCTCTTATGATCCTTTGTATTTTTGTGGTATCAGTTATAATGTCTCCTTTTTCATTTCTAATTTTATTTATTTGAGTCTTCTCTCCTTTTTTCTTAGTCTAGCTAAAAGATTATTGGTTTTATATTTTTAAGAAACTTAGTTTTGTTCATCTTTTGTGTCATTTTCTAGTTTTCATTTCACTTATTTTTGCTCTGATCTTTATTATTTTATTTCCTTCTGCTAACATTGGAAGAATTTGATATCCTTTTTCTATTTCCTTGAGGCATAATACTAAGTTGTTTATTTGAGATCTTTCTTCTTTTTGCTGTTGATGTTTATTGCTATAAACTTTCCTCTTAGAAATGCTTTTGCTGTATCTCATAAGTTTCGGTATGTTGTGTTTCCATTTTTGTTTTTCTCAAGATATTTTTACATTTCTTGTTTAATTTCTTCATTGACCTATTGGTTGTTCAAGAGCATGTTGCTTAATTCTTTTAATTTTCATTTCTTCATTGACCTATTGGTGGTTCACCACCATGTTGCTTAGTTTCCACGTATTCGTACATTTTCTGGAATTCCTTCTATTGTTGGTTTCTAGTGTCATATCATTGTTGTCTGAAAAGGTACTTGATATGATTCTAATATTAAATTTGCAAAGATTCGTCTTGTGGTCTAACCTGTTGTCTATCCTGCAGAATGTTCTATGTGTCCCTGAGAAGAATGTGTATTCTGCTGCTGTTGGGTGAAGTTTCTGTATGTGTCTATTAGGTCCATTTGGCGTAAAGCGTCCTTCAAGGTTAATGCTATTTTCTATCTTTTTTTTTTTTTTTTTGAGACAGAATCTCGCTCTGTCACCCAGGCTGGAGTGCAGTGGCGCGATCTCGGCTCACTGCAAGCTCCGCCTCCCGGGTTCACGCCATTCTCCTGCCTCAGCCTCCCCAGCAGCTGGGACTACAGTCGCCCGCCGCCACACCTGGCTAATTTTTTTGTATTTTTAGTAAAGACAGGGTTTCACCGTGTTAGCCAGGATGGTCTCAATCTCCTGACCTTGTGATCCACCTGCCTCGGCCTCCCAAAGTGCTGGGATTACAGGTGTGAGCCACTGCCCTGGTCTGTTTAGAAGTATTTTTAAAGAATTATTGCACTTCTGTTCGGATAGAAAAACAAAAATACATTTTAAGAATATATATGTATGAAAATATAAAATTTTGAAAAGTTGAATATTTCAAGCCAATTATGTAGATGTCCTTGTCCTTCCCTGAGCTGCTGACTCACGTTCCATGAAGCGGGATGGGTCTCACGGGCCTGTCAGGATGCAGGCTGTGATGTGAAGGCCGCTCAGTGCTCACAGGATTGGACGGGTTTGTGAAGGAATTTGGAGCGAGCCTTAGTTAGCTCCTTAACATTTCCTTTGAGCAACATCAGTGCTTTTGACGTTTTGCACTACTGTATAAAACTGTAAGTGTATGCAGAGATGTATGTTTCTGAATAAATCACAAAATTGACAAGCAACTGCCATGCATTGTTTTTTGTATCATAGCTTACTGATAAAGTACAGACTGCAACATTTACTTATTCAAATACCTTTAAAGATCTGGTATTTTTTTGCTTCTACTTCCCAGGAATTTGACCTCAGGGACATTTTCTATTATTTCCATATCTATTGAAATGAACTCAAATCAAAAATGAGGATGTTTCATTATACATTTAAAATGTGAGTTTTCCCATTTAAAGTCACACAAACTGAGGTTACTATGAAAAAGATTTAAAATTGTGCAGAATGAATCACTGAAAAATTAGTTTATTCTAAAGATCATATATTCAGAGTAAATATATTTAAATTTTATTACTTTCAGAGTAAATATATTTAAATTTTATTCAATTTCCTCTTTGTCAGCAAATTAGTGAATAACATTACTGATATCTTAGATGTTTGTGGACACAAAGAGAATAGAGGTAAAAATCATGACCCTCAAAGAGCTCAAAATCCTAAGATTTTTATGGGCAGCCCCAGAGGTATAAAATTCAAAAGGACATTACTTCTCCATTCCTGATTAGGTACGCAATGTTCTGGGATTATGCATGGCTCTCGGATCCTTGAGAGTAATAATGACAGTGATCTCTGAATTAACATAGTTCAACTTTTATAATAATTATGACCTTCAACCATGTGAAGTTTGTGGAGCACTGAGATTTCTTGGGGCGATTTTGTAACAGCTAATTCTTAACAGCAATGTTATTTCAGGCTTTTTGGCCATTCCCTGTTACAACTGCTGATCTTTTATTCCTATAATGGTACAGAATTCTTTGAGAAAAATAAATTCATCTTTTCATTCATTTAAGGAAAAATTGTCAGCACGAGCCTATGGCTATAATGTTCTCCATCATTTAAAGAATAAAAGGAATAATCTGGTTGAAATTGAATTATCTAAGCTTATATATGGTTTTGATTCAATGGTTAACGTGCATTTTTAACAAGTGATATGGTTTGGCTGCAACATTTACTTATTCAAATACCTTTAAAGATCTGTTTTTTGTTTTGTTTTGTTTTGTTTTTTGCCTGTACTTCCCAGGAATTTGATGTCAGATGCATTTTCTATTATTTCCATATCTATTGAAATGAACTCAAATAAAAAAAGGGGATGTTTCATTACACACTTATTAATGTGTAATTTAAGATTAATGTGTAATCTTGTAATTCCCATAATCCTTATGTGTCAAGGGTGGGACCAGATGGACATAATTGAATCACAGGGGTGGTTTTCTCCAGGCTGTTCTCGTGATAGTGAGTTCTCACAAGATCTGATGGTTTTATAAGGGGCTTCTTCCTTCACTCAGAACTCATTGTTTCTGCTGCCACCCTGTGAAGAGGTGCCTTTGGCCATGATTGTAAGTTTCCTGAGGCATCCCCAGCCATGTGAAACTATGAGTCAATTAAACTTCTTTTCTTTATAAATTACCCAGTCTTGAGGAGTTCTTCATAACAGCATGAAAACAGACTAATACAGTAAATTGGTATCACAGACATAGGGTGCTGTTATAAGGATACACTAAAATGTGGAATTGACTTTGGAACTGGGCAACAGGCAGAGGATGGAATAGTTTGGAGGGTTCAGAAGAAGACAGTAAAGGCTGGGTGTGGTGGCTCATCCCTGTAATCCCAGGACTTTGGGAGACCGAGGCAGGTGGATGACCTGAGGTCAGGAGTTTGAGACCAGCCTGGCCAACATGGTGAAACCCCATCTCTACTAAAAATATAAAATTAGCTGGGCATCGTGATGCATGCCTGTAATCACAGCTACTTGGGAGGCTGAGGCAGGAGAATGGCTTGAACATGGGAGGTGGAGGTTGCAGTGAGCAGAGATTGCACCACTGCATTCCAGCCTGGGCAACAAGAGCGAAACTCCATCTCAAAAAAAAAAAAAAAGAAGACAGAAGAATGTGGGAAAGTGTGGAACTTCCTAGAGACTTGGAGGACTTGGAAGACAAGAAGATGTGGGAAAGTTTGGGACTTCCTAGAGACTTGAATGGCTTCTACCAAAATGCTGATAGTGACATGGAAAATGAAGTCCAGGCTGAGGTGGTCTCAGATGGAGATGAGGAACTTGTTGGGAACTGGGATAAAGGTGATTCTTGCTACGCTTTAGCAAAGAGACTGCAACACTTTGCCCCTGCCCTGGAGAGCTGTGGAAGTTTGAACTTGAGAGAGATGATTTAGGGTATCTCGTGGAAGAAATTTCTAAGCAGCAAAGTGTTCAAGAGGAAGCAGAGCATAAAAGTTTGGAAAACTTGCAGCCTGACAAGGCGATAGAAAAGAAAAACCCATTTTCTTGGGAGAAATTCAAGCCAGCTGCAGAAATTTGCAGAACAAGGAGTGGAATACTAATTACCAAGACAATGAGGGAAATGTCTCCAGGGCAAGTCAGAGACCTTCTTGGCAGCCTCTCCCATCACAGGCCTGGAAACCTAGGAGGGAAAAATGGTTTCATGGGCCCAAGACCCCCTGTTCTATGCAGCTTTGAGACATGGTGCCCTGTCTCCCAGATGCTTCAGCTCCAGCCACAGTTAAAAGGGGCCAAGGTACAGCTCAGGCCATTGCTTCAGAGGGTCCAAGCTCCAAGCCTTGGAGGCTTCCATGTGGTGTTGAGCCTGTGGGTTCACAGAAGTCAAGAATTGAGGTTTGGGAACCTTCACCTGGATTTCAGAGGATGTATGGAAATGCCTGGATACCCAGGCAGAAGTTTGCTGCAGGGGCAAAGCCCTCATGGAGAACCTCTGCTAGGACAGTGCAGAACGGAAATGTGGGGTTGGAGCCCCCACACAGAGTCCTCACTGGGGTACTACCTAGTGGAGCTGTGAGAAGAGGGTCACTGTCCTCCAGACCCCAGCATGGTAGATCCACTGACAACTTTCACTGTGCCCCTGGAAAAGCCACAGACACTCAATACCAGCCCATGAAAGCAGCCAGGAGGGGGTTGTACCCTGCAAAGCCACAGGGGTGGAGCTGCCCATGGCCATGGGAGCTTACTTCTTGCATCAGTGTGACCTGGATGTGAGACCTGGAATCAAAGGAGAACATTTTGGAACTTTAAGGTTTAATGACTGCCCTATTGGATTTCAGACTTGCATAGGGCCTGTAGCCCCTTTGTTTTGGCCAATTTCTCCCATTTGGAATGGGTGTATTTACCCAATGCCTGTGCCTCCATTGTATCTACAAAGTAACTAACTTGCTTTTGATTTTACAGGCTCATAGGTGGAAGGGACTTGACTCAGATGAAACTCTGGACTTGGACATTTGGGTTAATGCTGTAATGAGCTAAGACTCTGGGGAACTGTTGGAAAGGTATGATTGTGTTTTGAAATGTGAGGACATGAGACTTGGAGGGGGGCCAGGGACAGAATGATATGATTTGGCTCTGTGTCCCCACCCAAATCGCATCTTGAATTGCAGTTCCCATAATCCCCAAGTGTAAAGGGTAGGATCAGGTGAACATAATTGAATCATGGGGTAGTTGCCCCCATGCTGTTCTCATGATGGTGGGTGAGTTCTCATGAGATCTGATCATTTTATAAGGGGCTTCCCCTTTGCTCAAAACTCATTATTTCTGCTGCCACCATGTGAAGAGGTGCCTTCTGCCATGATTGTAAGTTTCCTGAGGCTTCCCTAGCCATGTGGAACTGTGAATCAATTAAACCTCTTTTCTTTATAATTACCCAGTCTTGGATATTTCTTCATAGCAGCATGAGAATGGACTAATACAAGATGTGAGTGCATTTCCAGTTAATAAATAGGTAATATTTTCTGTGTTTTCTGCTATGGTAATGAATTGCATTACAACTTCACTAAAGAGAGAAATCACTCACAATTTGAGACCTAAACCAAGAGCTGAAGAAAGTGCAAAGAGACCTACAATAATTCCTATAAGTTATTTCCAATGGAAGGCCTCTGTGTATGTAGTACTGTAATAGAAAAACCTATGGAATAAAAAGAATGCATTCTCTGAGTAATGTTATGCAGTTTAATTAACCCTTCTCTGCATATTTTTGGCAGCTGTCATCTGTATTATAGGGATAATACAATTAATGGTACTGTCATGATTACATAAGTGAGATGAGTGAGGCATTTTTTTTGTTTTTTGTTTGTTTGTTTGTTTGTTTTGAGACAGAGTCTTGCTCTGTCGCCAGGTTGGAGTGCTGTGGCGTGATCTTGGCTCACTGCAACCTGCAACTCCCTGGTTCATGGGATCCTGCTGACTCAGCCTTCTGAGTAGGCCATTGTGTGTGTGTGCTGAGGGGTTCCCTTATTGGGCAAAATGTACAGGGTAGCAAGGGATTTTTGGCAGCAAAGGATTGTGATTGGGTGGGGAGGAGTAGTAATATTTCATGAGAAGTAAGTTGAGAAGCAAACGAGTGCTGTGTGTTTTCATTAAGCAATAGGGTCGACACAGCATGGGAACATACACATCAAGTGGGCGGCCTAACACTAAATCAGAAGTAGCCTGGATGAGTTGGAAGTCATGGCCCCTGTTTGTAGGCCAGGAGGATATGCTTTAGCACTGGCTGGTTTTGTGGGAAAACAGAGAGAAAGACATGGCTGAGTCTCAGGGTGCTCAGAGAAGGCCACAGCCTTGGGGTGCCGTGGTGACCACAAACACTTCCCCCATCCCATACCAATCTTTAAGAGCCTTTTCCTCCTTAAAGGCCTGTCACTTAGCAAAGAGCTTTCAATGAACCCTCCCCTCTGGGCCACTTGTTGGATTGCAGCCAATCAGTGATGGAGGGCTGGACACAACTGTGGGATGCTGTGATTTGGTTTGGCTCCTGGGTCTAGAGTGCTCTGGGGTCCACTGTACTTCTGGGATAAAACGCCAAGGCCATGACTCTCTTGCTAATTTACAAACAAAAGATTGAGGGCTAGCTAAACAAGGACAGAGTGGAAGCAGCTTTCTGTAAGACACACCCACCAGTGTGCCCTGTCAGTTTACCATTGCCATGGCAACACTCAGGCATTACCACCCCTTTCAGCGGCAATGACCTGATGACCCAAAAATTACCACCCTTTTCCTAACAATTTCTGCACAAACCACCCCTGAATCTGCATGTAATTAAAAGTAGGTATACATATGACTGCAAAACTGGGCTCAGCCACTACTCTCGGCACCCTGCCTATGGGGCAACCCTGGGAGCAGTCACTGAGCTGTGACCCCACAGGAGCTGTAACAGTGTTGCTTTGATAAAGGTGTTTTCTTCCACCTTACCACTGGCTCGCCCTTGAATCCTTTCCTGGGTGAAGCCAAGAACCCTTGCAGGCTAAGCCCCACTTTGGGGTTCGCCTGCCCTGCATCAGCATCAGGTTTTTTTTTTTAAACTTGTAAAATAGTTTTTGTGATTCTGTCATGTATTTTGCAGTCATGAACTAACATTTTTTTTCCTCAATTGTCAGTTGCAGTTTCCTCAAAGATCATTATAAATACTCCTTAACCTACAAAGTTTGGCAGTCACAGCCTGCTCTTCGAGGAACAGCCTGACTCACCATCAAGCGGCTCCTCAGGTGGTTTTACTTCCCATGTTTCCCATGTGAGGTACTATGCCTCAGTGATTCCTGGCAAAACTAGGATTCTCTGTTAGTATTGTGCTAACTTTGGAGTGAGTTTCTTTTGGTGAGTAATAATTTTAGTCAATGATACTACTGATTATTTTGTCTTTTTTTAGGCTTATGATGAATGCTTGATTTATGATTAATATGTTTTTCACTTTTACACATTTCAAGGAAGGAAACAAGAACAGACAGAAACACAACATACTTCATGAAACCACATTTTAGCATCCTGGCCGAGTATTCATCACTCAGCAAGATAGAGAGACATAAACTATTTCCAGCAAGAATACTTCATAAATGATGAATAGAAGAAAAAAAGAAGTCCTAAAAATCTTGCAGAACTGCCTTAATTTACTAATATCTTTACACTGTATCCTAAGTCACTCTCTAGCTTCTTGCTCTAAGCATATGAAATGTAAGAGCTAATGGGAACCCCAGTGCCTGTATAAATAACAAGAACCAGCATGTCTTTATTTATGGCAGGGAACACTCTACAACCTGGGACAAATGCCACTCTGCTTCAGTTTGGGGAAGCTCCTCACTTTACCATCCTGACGTTGAATAAATGATTCAAAGGCAACTACAGATGCAACCTGAGCCACTGGATGGGCTTTTGTAAATAAAGTTATCTCACCTGGCATTCATTACAGAGAAAACAAGAAATAAGGCACTACATGTCATATTTGTCTAGATCCTATACCTATTTAGGTTCACATTAAAATGAAGAGAAAACAACATAGGCTGAGAATCAGAAAACCTGAACTCTGTCCCAGCTCAGCCACTGGCCACAGGGAATTAACCAATCTCTTTGAACGTCAGTTTCTTCATTAAGCATCGTAGAGAATGTCAAAACCAACTTTATAAATACTGTCATTCCAAAACCACACAATTCAAATATAAATAATCTTTATAAGGTAAAACAAAAATGTACATAATACTTTACATAAACATTTTTAGAATAAGTTTATTATAACTCGATAAGCAAAATAATCCAAACCTTTATACATTTCTACAAGGATAGTCACGTATGTCAATTTTTCGGTTTCCTCTCGTGCCTATTTTGTCTCCTGAGCCGGCCCCTTTCCAGCTGACACGTGTGCTCCGTGTTCTCCCACAATAGCCTGACCTGGCCTGAGTCCGCGCCCCTGTGAGCCTCCTTTCTTTGCTTACAACAGCAGCCTGCCTGATGTCAGTTATGGACTATTCTTTCTTTCAGCCTCATTTCAGGGTCCTCTGCCTCTTAGAGCTGCTGCTGTAGCTTAGCTAGAGACCCGCTGCTGTTGCATCATGGAAAAGTGCCACATACGTGCACATGTGAAAGAATACGCAGACCTTCATGTTGTGTTTTAGTTTTAGAAAAAGTCAGAAGTAGCTTCACTTGATTTCAGCTTGTAAAGACATAGGAGGGAGGCAACTGAGAATCACCGTTGCAAAAAGCAAACATCAAAAATCACATTAAAATGCTGAAGTGTTGTGGAGCACAAACCTAGCTTTATTGGATCAAGCATTCGTGAGAGTTATTCTACTTGCTTTGTTATGCTTTCTATCAGACAGGGCTCATTCTCTGTCTTTTTTTTAACATATTCATTTTTTTCCTTTGGTCTGTTTAGATTATTATCACATCTTATGTTTTAAAACTAGCAAAATATTATGTGTAAGTCATGAACACAGTGTAAGAAATAATAAAATGAACACTGATGTACACATTACCTGCCTAAGAATCTAAAACTACCCATATTTTTAGAGTCCTTAACACTGTCCTGTTAATTAGTCCCATTTCTTGCCTTTATAATTTTGCCAAAATAAACGCATTAGTAAAGGACATTGAACATTATTGTTTTACATGTTTTTCAGTTTAAACAAATGGGATCACACTGAATATATTTTTCTGAAATTGCTTTTTGGTTCAATATTAAATTTGTAAGATTCATTCTTATGATATGTTTATCTGTACTTTCTGTGCATTGATTTAGAGTATTCCATCACAGGATAATACTATAATGAGCATTCCATTTTATTAGATTGGGGTTATTATCCATTTTTTTCTGTTACAAAAAGTAGATGTCCTTTTCTTGTATGAGTCTCCTGGACATAAGAGTTAGATTTTCTCTAAGGTATAAACCCAACATTCAAATCATTGTGTCAAAAGATTTGTACACTAAGTTAAAATGAACTGTTTTCCGATTTATGCTCCCATGAGAAGTTAAAGGTTCTGATAGATCTATATTCTCAACAATACCTAATAGTATCACAGTTTTGTTTTGTTTTTTTTTTTTTGAGACAGAGTCTCGCTCTGTCACCCAGGCTGGAGTACAGTGGCATGATCTCGGCTCACTGCAAGCTCCGCCTTCTGGTTTCACACCATTCTCCTGCCTCAGCCTCCTAAGTAGCTGGGACCACAGTTGCCTACCACCACGCCCGGCTAATTTTTTGTATTTTTGTTAGAGACGGGGTTTTACCGTGTTAGCCAGGTTGGTCTCGATCTCCTGACTTTGTGATCTGCCTGCCTTAGCCTCCCATAATGCTGGGATTACAGGCATGAGCCACCGTGCCTGGCCAGTATCACACTTTTTAACATTAGTTAACTTGGTTTGTCATTGGAATTTTAATCTGCATTTTTTAGAAGTACTGAATCAAGGAAAAAATCAAGTAATGAAAAAAATGTTATTTTAGTAAATAAAAATGCTATAAAGACAATAAAGCAAGTGAACGTAGTCAAAAGCGGAGAGGGGCTACTTCATTTTGATAGTCAAAGATGGCCTTGCTGGTCATCTGAGTTGAGAGGTGGCTGGCAAGATGAGAAGAGATGTTAAGTAGCTGTGGAAGGGGCCTGCTGGCACAGGGCATGCTCTAAGGCCCTGAAAAGAGGCAAACATTCTTTCCCTCTAAATACCTGAACTAAGTAAAAACAGTCCTGGCTTTGCACATTTGAATATGCACAGGTTTAATTAACATAGTTTAGTTAAATAGCACTAGTCTCCCAAAAACGTGGTTACAATTTCAGTTACCACAATATGCTAACTGTGAGCAACTGCATAAAATCCAAACTTCGTTCCCAGCTCTTAATTCCACAAATGCCTATGTGAGTAAATAACAGGCAAGCATCATGATTAGGGACTGTATTAATCTTGTGGGGATGCTGCAACAAAGTATGAAAAGCCGGGTTGCTTAAAACAACAGAAATGTATTGACTCGTAGTTGTGGAGGCTAGAAGTCAGAAATCAATGTGTTGGCAGGTTCACGCTCTCTGCTGGCTCTAGGGGAGAATCCTTCTTCCCCTCTCCTTCCTGTTTGGGTTTGCCAGCCATCCTTGGTGTTGTCTGATCTACAGATATATCACTCTGTTTTCTCTATGTGTCTTCACATCATCTTTTTTTTGTGTGTGTCTGGAGCTGTATCCAAATTCTCCTTTATTATAAGACACCAGTTAGTCTATTGGATTAAGACCCACCCTAATGACCTCATTTTAACTTGAGAACCTCTGTAAATGTGCTATTTCCAAATAAGATCATATTATTTTGAGATATTGGGGATTAGGATTTCAAACATATCTTTTTAGGGGGACACAATTCACTTCCTTCAAAGCCTGTCAGTGACTGCTCACTGTGCATCTGCTAGTTCGCACACAGACAGCAAAGTCTGCAATCGTGTTGATTCCTTGTCTCCCAGTGAGAAACCCATGTGACATTTATAAATATGAATAATCAGAAGAAAAAACTGGTCAACAACCATTGATGTGCAGCAAAGAAATAAAAAATGTGATAACCCTGGAAGTGTATTCAAATACAATGTAAATGGAATCATAGAATTGGCTTACCACAGGAAACGCAGCAAGAGGAACTCGGCGCAACGCAGTGTTCTGACATAAATGAGGAACGCAGCTGTGATGAAAAGGATGAAGAAGCCCCAGAGGAAGTGATGCCGGCAAAGACAGCAACAAACTTCATATTAAAGGAACTCTTGTAGATATTGCATGACGTTGACAATGTTAGATGCTGTTCCGAAAACAGCACGACAGTTCACCAAGGCATAGAAACACTGCTGGCTCCTTATCATAAGCTATACGACAAGAGGGAGGCAAGCACTGTTCAAACTGGGCTTGATACACGTCTATAAATAAATAAAGCACTTTAATTGGCTGTTGTTTAATGTTTTAAATTACAGTGTAAAAATGAAGTACTCCCAACCAGGCACGGTGGCTCACTCCTGTAATCCCAGCACTTTGGGAGGCTGAGGCGGATAATGAGGTCAGGAGATCAAGATCATCCTGGCTAACACAGTGAAACCCTGTCTGTACTAAAAATAGAAAAAATCAGCCTGGTGTGGTGGCATGCCACAACTACTTGGGAGGCTGAGGCAGAAGAATCGCTTGAACCCAAGAAGTGGAGCTTGCAGTGAGCCGAGATCGTGCCACTGCACTCCAGTCTGGGCGACAGAGTGAGACTCCATCTCAAAAAAAAAAAAAAAAAAAAGTACTAATTTCACTATGTTTCATTTCCTTATACATTTATAACCAACAGTAAGAGATTTTTAATGTTTTGGCCAAAATTTTTAAATGACACAGAACAGTTGATGTTTCACATGGATTATTTAGGTCACTTTATAGATCTTTAGCTTACATAGTGATTTGTATGGCCCTGCACTGCTGTGCAAAGAGAGGACTGTCTGTGTTCTTAACCAGTAAGAAGGAGGGCAAGAAAGAGGTTCTCAGCCAGATATTGCGTACGTAATAAAATGATGGGAGAGGGAATAGCACTTTAGATATGAAATGTACCCTGTGGGGAAGCTATTTGAACAACAACAACAAAATAGCTTAATTTAACCCGATGGAGTACACTCAGCCACCTTCTAGATGTCCCTGCTTATTCTTCAAATCTTCTCTTTTGTGGCCCCAAAGAATGATTCACTCTCTGGAGTGAAAAATAACCGTTGCTTTCTTTGCCTGGAACTTTAAACTGACTTGTGCTGTATCATCCAAACCTGTTCAATTCTCTCTTTTCTATTAATCAGTGAGGTCCAAAGGAGCCAAAGACAAATCTCTCCTGTTTTTCTTCGAAATGTAAAGATGTTGCATCTGTAACCACAGGCTGCTTTTAATCCTAAAAGTCAGCGTGATAATGAAATCCAGTGATTAATTTCTGTCTTCTAATCAATAAGTAGACATATCAATTTATAGTATGTTAGAAAACCTCAACTCCACTGAAACAAAAAGCAAGAGGCTCTGCAAATGTTGGAGTGTGCTAAAGGAAAAGCATGGACTGATGTTTGGGGAAAGGTTGGTCAATGTGATGAGGCCATCTGTGTTTGCTAATAGTGCTTATCAAAGTTAGGTTCCTACGCAGAGACAGAGACCAGGAGACAATCCTGTATCCTTCTTGATCCTTATAGTCCAAAGGGATAGCTCCTAAGTCTTTGAGAAAGACATTCTGTGTTATAGGAGATTTAAAGGGACAGAGAAAAGGTTTATAACTACAGGTTTTCTGTTTTTTTTTGTGTTTTTTTTTTCTAGACGGAATCTCACTCTGTCACCAAGCTAGAGTGTAGTGGGGCGATCTCGGCTCACTGCAACCTCCACTTCCCAAGTTCAAGTGATTCTCCTGCCTCAGCCTCCCAAGTAGCTGGGACTACATGTGTGTGCCACCATGCCCAACTAATTTTTGTATTTTTAGTAGAGACGGGGTTTCACCATGTTGGCCAGGATGGTCTTGCTCTCTTGACCTCAAGATCCACCCTCCTCAGCCTCTGAAAGTGATGGGATTTGAGCCACCACGCCTGGCCATAATTGCAAGTTTTCTAAAGTTAAGGCTCTTAGAAATGGGAGGTCAGGGGCCTATAGTCAAGTTTTGGGTGGGACAAACAGTAAATTCTTTTGGCAGAATTGAATGTTCCCAGGCAGGTGCTTTAGAGGGGTATGGGGCATCGTAGGGACGTGGCTCCGAGCTGATAGAGGCTGTGTTGGAATTTGGCCAAGTCCCTTACTGTATGTATGAGGAGGAGGGATGTGCAGAAGAAGTTGTTTGTGCCAAGAATTTGCAGTTTTCACAGGTTAAGACAGCGGTGCCTGGGATCATCTGCAAGGCATGAGTCAAATGTTGACACAATGATTGTTTGCAGACTCATCTGAGGGCTTAGGCAGATCTGGACCTGTTGATACTGAAGTTTCTGAAGGTAGAGGAAGAAAATATAATGTCTCAATAACATCTGAAGTAGGGGTAGGAAAACAGAGATTTAAGGAGGTGAGATCCCTTCAGGCCTCAGAAAGAAGCTTCACTTCTTGTGCCTCCCTTCAGAATAAATGGGTCATTAAATTAGTTCTTTGTAACTAACCTAGGCATGATGGTGAAGAAGGGAATAGTGAGAGGAAGAACTTTAAATAAATATGCCTGAGAGATCATACTAGATTAATGGGAGAGAAAGAAATTTCCAAGAAGCTGTCATGGGAAAGGGCTCACGAATAATAATTTAAAAATTAGTTATTGATAATATGAATAAATCAATAAAAATAAATAAAAAGAGATCTGCCAATAGCCACACTTACAGCACCAGATAGATTTTAAATAAATTAAAATTTGAGTTTTTAATGAATTTTCTACAATCCAAAATTTATTTGTTTAATTTTTGCAACGAAACACCATTTCTTTACTTTTTGCAAAAGTAAAAGTAAGATGCTACTTGTACTTTTTAAATAAAACTAATTTTAAAGAAAAACATAATTAGCCAGATGTGGTGGCAGGCACCTGTAATCCCAGCTACTGGGGAGGCTGAGGCAGGAGAATTGTGGAGGTTGCAGTGAGCCCAGAAGGCCCCACTGCATCCAGCCTGGGTGACAGAGCGAGACAGTCTCAAGCTTCTTCAGTACTCACATGTAAACTTCTACTTTCCCCTTCAGATTACAGCAACCATCATGCCAAAGCTATACACTCTCAGGGAATCCCTGTGGATTTCACTGATGACCACTTGACCAACTATCATAAAGATCAAGGCCAGGGGTTCTCAAACTCTCAACATTTGTGTGCTCATCTCCCCTTCACCCAGAGACTCCCCAGGGCTGCTGGGCCACACTTTGTTTTGTTTGACTGGAACATAGTTTGAAAGGGATGGAAATTTCCAAAAGGTGTTAATAGACACATAAAGATTTTTAAATATTAAAAAAAAGAAAAAGAAAGAAAGAAGGAAATGGGCATTTGTGAACTTTGGTCATGAGAACGCAGGCCTCGCAGTACTTAACTACTCCTTCCAAACCCCTGCCCAAAGAGAGGACCAAACTCTAGTGAGGCTTCCAGCAGCACAAGGATGTCCCGCGGATGACCCCAGCCCTCCTTAAAATGACTGCCTGAGAAAGCTCACTTGCAAGGAGAATTTACTGTTTGTTTCAGGCAAAACCTGGTGATGGGCAGGTAGAGCCCCGAATCCCCTCTTAGAACCTTAGAAAGCTTGCAATTATAAATCTTTTCTCTGCCTTTGAAGTGTAAATCTACATCCCGGAATTGTCTCCTCAAAGACCTGAGAGCTGTCTCTTTGAAATGCAAACATTCAGGAAGCTAACTCTTGCTCTTGTTGCCAGTTCCTGAGGGAGGGGAAAGGCCTAGCTTTGGTGAGCACCTTGCTCCAGCTTGCACCTCTGACTCTTTTATTGCCATCAAAATCAACATGTAGACTTTTTTCAAACCCAATGACAGCCCATTACAATGGAGGCCATAGCAATGGAGGTCTCTACATGCAAAAAAAAATGGTGGGACAGTTTCCTGACAACAGTCCAACTTTATTCCGAGGATAAACATGTCATGAAATTATGGATGGCAGATTATGCTTGAGTTATCTATGGTCTTCCTTTTTCTCCTTGGTCTCATCCCAATAGCTTACAGATCCTTTAAAGGCAAAGGCCAAATATTCAGCTAAGTTAGGCATACTTTAGATGCCAATATCAATTTTAGCTATATGGGAGATCCTACTTAAGATATTGAGGACGATCATGTGTGTACAGGGCAAAAAAGATGGGACAAAGAGATAAGGGGATGGGAAATCACACCCTCCCTCTGCACCACAGACCATGACCTGGGGCAGGTCGTCTAAAACCAAGCCCACCCAGGCCCCATCTAACAGTATGCCGCACTCTACATGACCTCAGAGTTCTTTCGGAATTCCAGCTGAAAAGCTGAAAAGCAATACCATATAGCTGTGGTTTCCAGCTGGCCCATGTTAGTATGTATAGCTTTTCTTCCTTGCCATGAAAGCACTATGGGAGAACGAAGCCCGATGCTGGGCATGCTTTGCCAGGTGGGTGCTGCTGAATCACAGACCTCAGCAACTGTGTTCCGCCTCCACAGAGGCCGGGGATGTTTGTTTCCCCAATGTGTTCGTATATTTCAGCCAGTTTCATGCACTTTGCCCTCTCAGTTTGCTTCACTTTCTGGCTCGGTGAACCTGACCTGCAAGTCTCCCTGCAGTTTCCCTCAGCAAGTGCTCACTGGGCAGCCCCAACATGTGAGAAACGGCTGTAGGGTGCACAGAGGTGAACTAAATTACTAAAAACTATTACTTTACTAAAATGCTTCCTGGATTCCAAAACTCACCAACTGGGAGAAAGGTCAGACACACACGGAGACAACTCATCTACACAAATGATCATCAGTGATTTAAAGAAGGTGCAGGAGATCATGGAATAAGAACAAGAAGAGATTACTTTCCAGGGCTCTCAGAAAGTTTCTGAAATGAAGTGCCATTGACCCTGACCTTAGCATTGTGATGGAGACATTACAGAGCTGGTAGGAAGGAGAAGAAGAAGGAACGGCTGGAACACACTTGGGGTGAAATGAGCAGCATTTCAGTGTGGGAGCTGCAGACTCGGTTTTGGTGGAAGAGTTAGGAGCCAGGATCTTGTCAGGAATAATTCTGTGTCCAAGTGCAGAATCGTGGTTTGCTCCATTACTACCAGTAACTCCATTTCTCAATCATGATGGTGATGCTTTTTTTTGGCTCTCAATCCTGGAGATTGGCCGTACTGAAGTCACATTACAACAATTAACTTTTCAACTATTAGATGATTAATTTTTGCCAAGTAGCAAGAACAGCTATTTGGCACGTAGCAGTGTGGCATGAGTATCTTGTAAATGAATTAAACAAAATATCTCTCCAGCACACACACAGTCATTCTTGCTGCATGTCAGCCTCCACTTCTCCCTCCATTATTTGATGCCGTGAAGCTGAGGCAGCCAGCTTGAGCGGAAGTTTTCAGATCTCACTCCAACAAAGAGCTTTGATTGATTCACTTAGTATAAGGTGTTTTATCTGGCTAAAGAAATCCAAGCTGAGTTTTATTAATTACTGAGAAAAATATCTGTGCAATAGATTAATCTTTGATCAAAACTATGTGTGAAGTAGAAACATATTACACATATGGAGAGCAATATTATGGAATAAAAACAACCTATGTGTGGCATAATTGACATTGTCTTTATATTTTTGGGGGGGCTGAAGACGCAGTCTCGCTCTGTCGCCAGGCTGGAGTGCAGTGGCACGATCTTGGCTCACTGCAATCTCCGCCTCCTGGGTTCAAGCGTTTCTCCTGCCTCAGCCTCCTGAGTAGCTGGGATTACAGGTGCATGCTGCCACACCCAGCTAATTTTTGTATTTTTAGTAGAGACAGAGTTTCACCATGTTGTCCAGGATGGCCTCGATCTCCTGACCTCATGATCCTCTCGCCTCAGCCTCCCAAACTGCTGAGATTACAGGCATGAACCACCTTGCCTGGCCTATAAATAATTTTTGAAACAGATACAGAATATATAGATAGCTTAACAATTATAAAATTGTATTTATCAAGTATGTCACGAGGTAAACATTTTACGCTATGCAAAAGGGAGCAAACCTCCGAATTTGTCATGCAGGGTCACTAGTGGAACTCACAGCAACAGGTCTGATAAAGCAGAGGAGGGAACCAGGCTTCCGTGTGCTTTAGAGAGAGTGAAACATGAGGAGTCATAGTCAGAGAAAACTGTTTTTCAGAAAGAAAAGAAAGGGGACATGACAGCCCAGCAGTAGGGTGAAGAGGGCCTCTCCGTGGGTGCCACTGGCTTGAGCTGCTGTAAGTGGCTGTGCCTGGAACAGAGGATCTGGATAGGAGAATGGGGAAGGGAGTGCTGGAACCGGGGGTGGGCAGGAGCAGCAGTCTGGAGACCAGAATGACCTAGGGTTTCCTCTCATGCTCCCATTCCCAGTGTTTCACGTGTGTAAAGTAGCAAGCATGCATATACTGCTTAGAGGCATCTACACTTACATACTACACTCATATCCAACACTTGCATCATACAAAGTACACATAGTAGGTGTGGCATGTAATAAGTTACCCTCTTATATTTTCTTCTAAAAGATTTTTAAATATTTGCATCTCAAATTTAAGTCCTTTGTCCATTTAGATCTGGCCTTTGTGTGATAGGGATCCATTTTTGTGATAGAGATGCATTCTGATATTTTCCCATATGGATACCAATTGCTCATACCATGGACTATATAGACCCTTTCTGACTGTTCTGTAATGTTAGCCAGGACATACATCAAGATTTCACACAAGCATACACTTTCACAATAGCAATATCTGCTGTGGTAATTATAACTTCACAGCAAATCTGGTACGAGATAGACTCACATAAGCTCCACCTCCCACCTTCGCACACTTTAGTCTTCTATGGGATTGTCTTAGTTATACTGGGCCCTTTTCTCTTCCATATAAGCTTTGGAAGCAGTTTAGTGACAATGGTACTCTTGTCTTTTTCTTGATTTTAAAAGGAGTGATTTCAATATTTTTAATCACAAAACATGATAGGTGCTGTAGGTTATTTGTCGACTCCTTTTATCAGGTTAAGGAAGTTACCCTTTATTCATAGGTGGAAATATCAATAATTTAATTTTTGTAAATTTTTTTTTTTTTTTTTTTTTGAGAGGGATTCTCACTTTGTGGCCCAGGCTGGAGTGCAGTGGCGGGATCTCGGCTCACTGCAAGCTCCGCCTCCCGGATTCACACCTTTCTTCTGGCTCAGCCTCCCGAGTAGCTGGGACTACAGGCGCCCGCCTCCATGTCCAGCTAATTTTTTTTTTTTTTTAGTAGAGACAGGGTTTCATTGTGTTAGCCAGGATGGTCTCAATCTCCTGACCTCGTGATCCACCCGCCTCAGCCTCCCAAAGTGCTGGGATTACAGACGTGAGCCACTGTGCCCAGCTGTAAAATAATTTTATAGGCCTTTTGAGACAATCATATAATTTTTGTCTTTAATTTGTTGATAAGGAGATAATTTCAGTAGATTTTCTAACACTGAACTAAATTTGCATTACTAACCGAGCTTGTTCATGGTTTTTATACTTTGCTAGGTATACTTCCTAGTATTTTGTTTACACTATTTGTCTGTGTGCATGGATGAGGTACACCATAGCAAGGTTATCCTAGTATCATATGAATTAAAGAATGGTCTCTTTTTTTTCCCCTCGCAGATTATTAGTGTAACATTGGAACTACTGGTGACATCATCTGGGCATCATGTTTTCTTTGTAGAATTATTAATTATTAACTCAATTACTTTAATGGTATGATTTCCATCTAGATTTTCTAATTATTTGAGTCAACTTTGATAAATTATATGTATCCAAAAATGTGTTAATCTCACTTATTTACAAATGCATATATATGTCTTGTTAATGAAATAGATCATAAATATAAAAGTGTGTGTGTACAGCTTAAGAAGAATATAAAATGAGCATATGCGCCCTTCCTTCAGGTTATGAAATAGAATATTTCCAGTATCTTAGAAACTCCCATTGCCCTTCTTCAATGCCACTCACTCTTTCCACAAGAGGTAACCACTATCCCTAACTTCCTGTTAATCATTCCATTGCTTGTCATTATAGACTTGCATATTGTTTAGTTTTGCACATGTTTGACTTTTTTAATAAGTGAAACTGTGTATTGTTTCTTGTTTTTTTTTTCTGAGACGGAGTCTCCCTCTGTTGCCCAGGCTGGAGTGCAGTGGCGTGATCTCCGCTTACTGCAAGCTCCGCCTCCCGGGTTCATGCCATTCTCCTGCCTCAGCCTCCCGAGTAGCTGGGACTACAGGTGCCCACCACCACGCCTGGCTAATTTTTTATATTTTTTTTAGTAGAGATGGGGTTTCACCGTGTTAGCCAGGATGGTCTCGATCTCCTGACCTCATGATCTGCCCACCTCGGCCTCCCAAAGTGCTGGGATTACGGGCGTGAGCCACCGTGCCTGGCCAACTATGTATTGTTTCTTGTGATTAGATATGCATACACACAAACATGTGTATGCATATATATATATACATGTACACACACATTATTTTTTAGAGCAGTTTAAAGTTCACAGCAAAACTGAGCAGAAGGTATAGATTTCCCATATACTCCCTGCCCCCCACACATGCATAGCTTCTCTCATGATAAACGCCCCCCACCAGAGTGCTGCATTTGTTACAATTAATGATACATGATACATCTTATAGTTTGCATTAAGGTTCACACTCGGGCTTGGACAAATTTACAATGACAAGTATTCACTATTAAAATATCATACATGTACTTTCAGGGCCCTACACATCCTCTGTGCTCTAGTTATTCATTCCTCTCTTCCTCCTAACTCCTGGAAACCACTGATTTTTTTTTTTTTCTATCTCTATA
The DNA here is from genome assembly GCF_000001405.40 of Homo sapiens. NCBI lineage: Eukaryota > Metazoa > Chordata > Mammalia > Primates > Hominidae > Homo > Homo sapiens. Next base: position 60,893,156 of record NC_000009.12, read on the forward strand.
GTTTTACCTTTTCCAGAAAGGTCATATAGTTGTAAGTGACAGTATGTAGCCGTTTTAGATTGGCTTCTTTCACTTTGTAATATGCATATAAGCGTCCTCTGTGTCTTTTCGTGGCTTGACAGCTCTTTTTATTTTTTATTTTATTTATTTTTTTTATATTTTTTTTTTAGAGGGAGTCTTGCTCTGTCGCCCAGGCTGGAGGGCAGTGGCGTGATCTCCACTCACTGCAAGCCAAGCTCCACCTCCCGGGTTCACGCCATTCTCCTGCCTCAGCCTCCCGTGTAGCTGGGACTACAGGCACCTGCCACTGCACCTGGCTAAGTTTTTGTATTTTTAGTAGCGACGGGGTTTCACCGTGGTAGCCAGGATGGTCTCTATGTGCTGACCTCGTGATCTGCCTGCCTCGGCCTCCCAAAGTGCTGGGATTACAAGCGTGAGCCATCGCACCCGGCCAACATCTCATTTATTTTATCATTGAATGATATTCAATTGTCTGGATGTACCACAGTTTGTTAATTCACCTACTGAAGGAAATCTTGCTTGTCTCCAAGTTTTTGCAATTATAAATAAAGCTTCCATAAACATCTGTGTGCAGGTTTCTGTGTGGACATAAGTTTTCAACTCCTTTGGATATATACCAAGAAGCAAGATTGCTGGGTCGTATAATAAGAGTAGATTTAGTTTTCTAAGAAGCCACAAAACTGTTCTCCATTTTGTATTTCTATCAGCACTGAATGAGAGCTCCTGTTGCTTCACATCCTCATCAGCATTTGGTGTTGTCAGGGTTCTGGATTTTTGCCATTCTAATACGCATGCAGTAGTATCTCATTGCAGTGCTGTATTTGAGAATGTGAATAGCTGCAGTTCATTCACTCTTAGTGCTGCGAGGTACTCTATTATCGGAATATATGATCATTTAGTTACCCAGTCCACTATCTACCCATATTGAGAGATAACTAGATTGTTTCCAGGTTTTTAAAATTGGGAACATTCTCATACACCTCTAGGTAAACAAACGCAAGAATTTTTCTGGGGCCTGTAACAGGCTGACTAGGTTGCACTAGGTTGTAGTGAAGTCACTGGGTCATAGGGTACGTTATGATCAGCTGTATGAGCCAGCATCTGTCTGTTTTCCAAATGGCTGTCCTACTTTAGTGTGTGGGATGAATACTTCCGTGGTTCTTTATCCTTGCCAATACCACACGTTTCGGAACTTCAAAAAAAAAATTGTCAATATGTATGAAAGGATATCTAATTGTTAATTTTCATTTTCATGATTATTATGAGGTTGAGCACTTTTTACATGCTTATGGGGTATTTGTGCTAACTTCTCAACAGACATGTTATTTTTCACTTATTTATAGGAGGCATATTCTGGATACCAGACCTTTCTAGGTAAGATGTGTTGCAAATAGCTCCGCCAAGTTTTGGGTATTTTTTTTCACATTGCAGTATCCTTTAATAAACAGAAGTATTAAATTTTTGTGTTATCAAATCAATTTTTCCTCTTTCAGTTTGTTCTTCTTCCCCATGTAAAGATAAAAGATATGGCCAGGCGCGGTGGCTCACGCCTGTAATCTCAGCACTTTGGGAGGCCGAGGTGGGCAGATCACAAGGTCAGGAGATCGAGACCATCCTGGCTACCACGGTGAAACCCTGTCTCTACTAAAAATACAAAAAATTAGTCCAGGCGGGGTGGCGGGCGCCTGTAGTCCCAGCTACTCCGGAGGCTCAAGCAGGAGAATGGCAGGAACATGGGAGAGGAGATGGAGCTTGCAGTGAGCCGAGACCGCGCCACTGCACTCCAGCCTGGGCAACAGAGCGACTCCATCTCAAAAAAGAAAAAAATAATTATTCCCAGGTTTTTTTCTAAAAATGTTGAGAAGCTATCTTTATCCGTTAAAATATATTTTTATGTTTGTTCTCCGGGATTAAGTTTCAATTTCATTTTTTTCCCTTATGGAGATCAGTGGTCCCAGTGTTGCTTATTGTAAAATATACTATCTTCACTTAACAACAATGAAAGCTGTGTTACAAAATCTGTTTCCCAGTATTAGTGCAAAATATATTTCTCTTTATGATTGTACTCAGATTAACTAGTTTGCAGGACTGTGTCCAGAGTTGGTTCCTTCGGTGGGTTCGTGGTCTCCCTGACTTCAAGAATGCAGCTGTGGACCTTTCTGGTGAGTGTTACAGTTCTTAAAGATGGCACGGAACCAAAAAGTGAGCCTAGGAAGGTTTATTGCTGAGAGCGAAAGAACAAAACTTCCACACCCTGGAAGGTGACCCCACCTGGTTGCTGCTGCTGGTTGCGGGTGGCCAGCTTTTATCCCCTTATTTCTTCCCACCCATGTTGCGTTTCTGTCTTATCAGAGTGCCCTTTTTTCAATCCTCTCCACTATTGACTACTTTTAGAATCCTGCTGATTGGTGTGTTTTACAGAGGCTGATTGGTGCATTTTACAAATTCCTTGTAGGACAGGAAAGTTCCCCAAGTCCGCACTCGACCCAGGAAGTGCAGCTGGCCTAACCTCTCACTGCCAGAGGCTAATTTCCATCCTGGTATTTCTCAGGCCCATAGATAGTGTGAATTCAAATCCAAACCCATATGTCTATTGACTTAGACATACTTAGAAATTACCATTTTTTTTTTCTTTTTTCTTGTCTACCCTATTGAAACCAAGACAAGCATAGATTTTCACTTTCTTCTTATGGGAGTGGGATTTTCCTAGCCCCACTTAACATGCTTCTTTTTAGAAATCCTAGATTTATGCAGAAGGCATTTTAGCCTATATTCCTCCCTGCATGGGCATCAGTCTCTGTCTCCTGAATTAGGTGCTCATGGTTCTGGGCCAATAGTTCCTGGGAGACACCCCAGGGCAAATGCCAGATGAGACACTCACACCTCTGGATTCAAATTTTTTTTGCTCTTGTAGATATCTGAAAATTTGCCTTACTTTGACTCAGCCCATGCATTAAAGCAGATGCTTTTAAATATTTTATGATGCATGTTTTAGGAAAGAGTCTGTCTGGGTATTTCTTCTTTTGATTTGCATTTTGCTTTCAATTCTTCTTTCACACTATCCTAAGCATTAATCAACTTGTCGTTTATGTCAGTTAGTACAAAACTTCACTATCCTGTTCATTATCACCATTTCATTTTGTTCTGCATAGGCCAGACTATTTATCTAAAAATGTTTAAAGAAATCTAAGGCCTTAAAGGATTCTTTCTCAGGGACTCTACTGTTTGTATTTAGAGAAATGCTCATTTGTTCCACTGTTTTACTTTCTTCTTGGGTCACGCTCTTTGATGACTGCCATCTTACAGAGGATGACAAAAGAGGGCCCAGGCTGAGACAATGATACCTGCTTGCCCCTTTGGATTTTATTTTCTTAGTGTTCTCAAAATATTAATAAAATGTCAAAAACAAATTAATATCACCAGAATGTGTGCCTCACTTAAAATTTCTCTCTCTAACAAGTTTTTGTTTCCTAGTTCCTTTGGTACCCTAATGTTTAGGTAAATAGTCTCTGAGGAAAGGATGTGAAAGTCATAGCAAAATATATGCTGGACTTGAATGAAAAATATCTGTTTCATAAAAGTTAAGCAGGCAACCAAAATTTACCTTTTTTAACCTAAATTATCTAAACATGTATTTACATTTCTGCTTCATTAAAATATATTTGAGATTGAATGCTCCTGAGACAGATTTTGGAATGCCCTCCCTTTCTAAAATATATTTTTTATTTTTTGTGGACTAAACAGTTATTTAAAAATGAACTTAATGATTGCTAATTAGTTATCTAAATACTTATTTAAAAATAAACTTAATGATTGCTAATTACTCAGTTATTTATAATGCATTTCAAAATTAACTTTATTGTCTAAACCTCTTAACACAAATGTATTAAATTATGTAACAGAGAATTGGCTATTTTTGTTCAAATATCTATTCTTGTCAGACTTAAAATATCACTCAGCTATATGATTAAAAATGAACTACAGTCATTAAATTATTTCCCACTTATTTGTGGCATTTCTCCATATTAGAGGAGACAAACAGTGCTCTTTGAATCTTTTTTTTTTTTTTGAGACGGAGTCTCGCTCTGTCGCCCAGGCCGGACTGCGGACTGCAGTGGCGCAATCTCGGCTCACTGCAAGCTCCGCTTCCCGGGTTCACGCCATTCTCCTGCCTCAGCCTCCCGACTAGCTGGGACTACAGGCGCCCGCCACCGCGCCCGGCTAATTTTTTGTATTTTTAGTAGAGACGGGGTTTCACCTTGTTAGACAGGATGGTCTCGATCTCCTGACCTCATGATTCACCCGCCTCGGCCTCCCAAAGTGCTGGGATTACAGGCGTGAGCCACCGCGCCCGGCCCAGTGCTCTTTGAATCGGATGACAGTTCTATTGATAATGGCCATCACAATCTAGTTACGCATTATTAATTAGGTCAAGGCATGAATAAAATTTCTCCCTTGTTTCCACTCAAAAACTACAAGTATAGTTCTTTGGTAAGATGCTCCAACCATGGCTGGGTGCGGTGGCTCAAGCCTGTAATCCCAGCACTTTGGGAGGCTGAGGCGGGCAGATCACGAAGTCAGGAGATTGAGACTATCCTGGCTAACACGGTGAAATTCTGTCTCTACTAAAAAATACAAACAATTAGCTGGGCATGGTGGTGTGCACATGTAGTGCCAGCTACTCGGGAGGCTGAGGCAGGAGAATGGTGAGAACCTGGGAGGTGGAGCTTGCAGTCAGCCGAGATCACGCCACTGCACTCCAGCCTGGGCAACACAGTGAGACTCCGTCTCAAAATAAATAAATAAAATAAAATAAAAAATAAAATAAAAAAAAGATGCTCCAACCATGATTGGTGATGCCAATCATAGAAGAAAAGAGAATATTGAGAAATAATAAGACAGCTACTTTAAACCATTCTGTGCCTGAACATTTTGATGGCAATATTGGTCATATTATAAATTTGAAAATATAAATGGTAATCTAAATTGACTTTAGTCTACCAGTGATTATGAGAGCTTTATCTAAGTGAAACACTTGCATTTTTATTTCCAACATTTTTCAGAAAATGTGAAACTCCGACCAAGTGCAGTGGCTCATGCCTGTAATCCCAGCTCGTTGGGAGGCCGAGGCAGGTGGATCACAAGGTCAAGAGATCGAGACCATCCTGTCCAATCTGGTGAAACCCCGTCTCTACTAAAAATACAAAAATTAGCTGGGCGTGGTGATGCGCACATGTAGTCCCAGCTACTCGGGAGGCTGAGGCAGGAGAATCGCTTGAACCCGGGAGGTGAAGGTTGCAGTGAGCCAAGATTGTGCCACTGCACTCCAGCCTGGGCGACAGAGCAAGACTCCATCTCAAAAAAAAAAAAAAAAAAAAGAAGAAAAAGAAAATGTGAAGCTCCTTATTATTTTGTTTTAATTTTAAGAATTCCACTTCCTAGATAAGCAGAACATACAGCCAAGTGCTATGTTCTGGTTGTTTTTAATGAGTATATTTATGTTCTCCCCAATTTATTATTTATTAATGTCTAACTTCAATTAGATGAGTTGATTACTTTTCATACACCATTGACTAAAGGAAACCTAATTTTACACGTAATTCAAGGGGATCTGTAAGTAAGAACATTTTAAAATTAAACCAACACATGTGCATTGAAAATCATTCAAACAGTTTGATGGGCAAAAAACCAGTGAAAACCAGAAACTTTTTTTTTCCTTCCATAGACCTTGGTCCTGTTTTTCAGAGTTAGGCAAGGTTTATCATTTTCTTTTTTTACTATATGCTATTCTCTTGAACTGTAAATAATATTATACAATCACCTAATTTTGTTTTAACAATTTTAAGTAATATCCCTTGACTTTTTATAAACGGTAGAGAATATAGCTCATTTACCCTACTTTCTTCTTCTAAAACTATATTTCCAATTTAGTCTTTAATATATAATTTTATGGGATTTTTAAAAAATTTGCTTTCTCTAAATAATATACTTACAGTGCTTAATTCTTTGCTTAAATAATATACTGTTTAGATAATATATGGTCCATCCAATTTGAACACCACTGATTGGCTCAGTAGGATGTGGAGATTAGTGTACAACTTCCCTCCCCTCCAACAGTCCCTGTCATAGCTTTCGACTTGTATCAAATTTCATTCTATGCTTATATTTTCACATTTTATGTAAATTACATCCTATTTTGTAATTATAATAAAGTCTGTGCTTTGTTCGTAGGTTAATTTTGATCATGGAATCTCAAGTGAATTGACAGCATCATTATTATGTTTTCTTTTTTTTTCAAACCACAGTCGCAGGTGGCGTGATTTGATTTGTGTGAAGGCAATGAAATGATACACAGATACACCGAAGCCTCCCAAAAGAATCCTGGTTCCAAGACTCAAGAAGATGGATTAATGTTTTTCCATTAATTGTTGGAATTTATGCCATTTTTTACTATGTGCCATCAATTTTAAAGCACTTCTGAAAAGACATAACAATCTAAATGAGATGGCATTTTAAATTCATAAAAATATAGTATTTTCCTCAACTTTTATACATTTATGATGCATTATTTCTTATTTCCCGGGAATTTTACTACCTTTGTTTTGAATGATTAAAAAGGAAACACAGCACTTTTTTCAGCACATCACCAAGATAGCCTAGTTAATATTCTTCTCTTTCTGAAGTAGTTGAATTGGGATAGACAGCTTGCCAGGCCTGCTGCCACGTGTCAGCATCGCATCCCTACATTCAGCCACACTTGCATCTAACGACCATCTCTTTCATTAAATTTCTTTTGCACCTTTTCTTCCTGAATGAGTGCATGATACTTAATTTTCCTGTGCACTTGCATGTCTCAAGAAGGTTTTAATTCTTTTTGTATTGCATTAATATTAAGTTAAGTTTATAATTGCAAAATGATTTATACTCAGAACATTGAAGACTCCTTTGTTTTGTTACATCCTGTCAAAATGATGAGAAGACAGATCATCCTTTAGGGAAAAATTGGTTTTGATTGGTGTCAGCCTTTCCAACAGCAATGCTGGAGACAAGAATAAAATGAAGTAATATTTTTCAAGGATTAAAAGGAAACCAATTTTAATCCTTGAATTATTTGCAGCCACAATCTTTTAAATATGAAAGCCCAGAAAAAGACATTAAAAAGTAAGGCCTCAAAAGTTTTATTTCAAATAAATCCCTTTGAAAATGCTTAGAGGTCATACTCCACTAAGAAGAGAAATACACCGTGGTGTTAGAATTGAGGGTTCCAGAATCAATGGTAGTGGTGTTTATCATACTCTAAAAAATAAATGAAAACATAACATATTGAAAACAACCCCGAGTAAACTTCAGAAAGCACCCCCTTAGACAAAGTGCTGTCGTAACAGAGAAAGCAAACCAGAGGTGGCAAGAGGAAGCTAGAGCACTTATCTTGTTTGCTGAGATGATATTAATTTTGACACATATCAGAAATTGAGAAAATTAACATAAATAATGATATAACCACCATTACAATGTTAAAAATTTCCAGATTTCAAACAAATAGAAAAAGATTTGATCTATACAGTGAAAGGTACAATAGGAAAAAATAAACAGTAAAGAAAGTATGAAAAATCATAAAATGAGATGACAGAAATAACTCATAATGGAACAATAATTACATAAATCAAAGGTTAAGATTGTCAGGTAAAATTTTTAAGTGTCAAAAAAACACTCAATAAAACCTATCGAAAATAAATTAGTGTAAAAAATATAGCAGGAAAATATGAATAAAAAGAGCTAGGTCCAATTTTTGATAAAAATTTGAATTCAAGTTAATAATATCCTAAAGAAGGAAAAAATCTGTAGACCAATAGAGAGAAAGGAAAGGCGCATTCAGACAAAGAAAATGTGTACAGAACACACTAGGGATATCAGAAGAGGCTGCTCATGGCCAGGCATGGTGGCTCATACCTGTAATCCCAGCACTATGGGAGGCCAAGGTGGGTGGATCACCTGAGCTCAGGAGTTCAGGACCAGCCTGGGCAGCAAGGGAAACCCCATCTCTACCAAAAATACAAAAAAATTCGCTAGCCATAGTGGCACATGCCTGTGGTTCCCGTTACATGGGAGGCTGAGGTGAGAGGATTGCTTGAGCCCGGGAGGTGGAGGTTACAGAGAGCCCAGATTTTGCCACTGCACTCCAGCCTGGGCAAGAATGTGAGACCCAGTCTCAAAGCAAAACAAAACAAAATAAAAAAGAAGCTGCTCAAGACCAGACTGAGCTCCTAGACCTTGAACTCCAGTCCCACCTCACACCCTAAGGTTCCTAAAGAATCAGTAACTTAGTTCACCCTACCGCACTCCTGACTTCTGGATGTAGCACAAGTTTCTAAACTTATGCAAACAGTGAGGACTATCTATTTTGACAAAATAAGAAATGGAGTCAAGGCAACATGTAAAAGATATTTTTGCCAGTTTTATTGATTAACAAAGAAAAATTGTATATAGTTAAGGTATGCAGTGTGATATTTTGATATACATATACATTGTGAAGTGATGATTACCACAATCAAGCTAACATATTCATCACCTCACCTGGCTACCTTTTTATTTGTGTTTGTGTGGTGGAGAACACTTGAGATCTACTCTTTCAGCAAATTTCAAGTATACATTATTATTGACTTTAGTCACTATGCTGTACATTAGATCTCCAGAACTTATTCATCTTATAACTGAAAGTTTGTACTTTCTGACAAACATTTTTTCTTTTCCCCCAACTCCCAGGCCCTAGTAAGCACTATTTTACTCTCTTACCATGAGTTTGACATTTTCTTAGTATGCATATAAGTGAAATCATGCAGGATTTTTTTGCATCTGTTCCTGGCTTATTTTACTTACCATAATAAACTCCAGGTTTATCCATCTCGTTACAAATGGCAGTATTTCCTCATTTTTAAAGGCTAAATGATATTCCATTACATATGTGTGTGTGTCTGTGTGTGTGTGTGTGTGTAATACATTTAAAACATCCATTCATCTGTCAATGGACACAGGTAGTTTCCATACCTTGGCTGTGTAAATAACACTGTAATAAACATGTAAGTATATATATCTCTCTGAGATAGTGATTTTCTTTACTTTGGATATATACCCAGATGTGAGATTGCTGGATTATATGGGAGTTCCATTTTTAATTTTTTGAGGAAACTACATACTGTTGTCTGTAATGGCTGTACCAATTTACATTCCCATCAACTATCAACTAAGCACAAGGGTTTCTGTTTCTCAATATCCTCAGCAACATTTGTTACCTTTTTACTGTTATAAAAGCCATCCTAATAGATGCGAGGTGATATCTCATTGTGCATTTTCCTGCTGATTAGTGATGGCAAACATCTTTTTCTTAATATATACCTATTGTCAATCGTATGTCCTTTAGAAATGTATCTCTTCAGGTCTGATATGCTTTGGCTGCATCCCCACCCAAATCGCATGTTGAATTGTAGCTCCCATAATTCCCATGTGTTATGGGAGGGACCCAGTAGGAGATAGTTGAATCATGGGAGCGGTTTTCCCCATACTGTTTTTGTGGTAGTAAATAAGCCTCACAAGATCCGATTGTTTTATAAGGGATTTCCTTTTTCACTTGGCTTTCATTCTGTCTTGCCTGCTGCTGTGTAATATGTGCCTTTAGCCTCCCACCATAAGTAAGGCCTCCCCAGCCTCATGGAACTGTGAGTCCATTAAACCTCTTTTTCTTTATAAATCACACAGTCTTTGGTATGCCTTTATCAGCAGCATGCAAACAGATGAATACAGTAAATTGGTACTGGTAGAGTGGGGTGCTGCTGTAAAGTTATCCAAAAATGTGGAACCAACTTCGGAACTGGGTAACAGGCAGGGGTTGGAACAGTTTGGAGGGCTCAGAAAAAGACAGAAAAATGTGAAAAAGTTTGGAACTCCCTAGAGATTTGTTGACTAGCTTTGACCAAAATGCTAATAATGATATGGACAATGAAATTCAGGCTGAGGTTGTCTCAGATAGTGATGAGGAACTTGTTGGGAACTGGAGTCAAGGAAAATCTTGCTATGTTTTAGCAAAGAGACTGGCAGCATTTTGCTCCTGCCCTGGAGATGTGTGGAACTTTGAACTTGAGGGAGATGATTTAGGGTAGCTGGCAGAATAAATTTCTAAGCAGCAAAGCACTCAAGAGGTGACTTGGGTGCTGTTAAAAGCATTCAGTTTTAAAAGGAAACAGCATAAAACTTTGGAAAATTTGCAGCCAAATGATGTGATAGAAAAGAAAAACGAATTTTCTGAGGAGAAATTCAAGCCGGCTGCAGAAATTTGCATAAGCAACAAGGACCCAAATGTTCATCACCAAGACAATGGGGAAAATATCTCCAGGACATGTCAGAGACCTTTGCAGCAGTCCCTCCCATTACAGGCCAAGAGGCCTAAAAGGAAAAAATGGTTTCCTGGGCTGGTTTCAGGGGCCCCCTGCTGTTTGCCACCTAGTGACTTGATGCCCTGCATCCCAGCTACTGTAGCCATGGCTAAAAGGGTCCAAGGTACAGCTTGGACTGTGGATTCAGGTGGTGCAAGCCCCAAACCTTGGCAGTTTCACATGGTGCTGAGCCTGTGGGTGCACAGAAGTCAAGAATTGAGGTTTGGGAATCTCTGCCTAGATTTCAGAGGATGTATGGAAACTCCTAGATGTCCAGAAAGAATTTTGCTGCAGAGGTGGTGCCCTAATGGAAAACCTCTGCTAGGACAGTGCAGAAGGGAAATATGGGGTTGAAGCCCCCACACAGAGTCCCCACTGAGGTACTGCCTACTGGAGCTGTGAGAAGAAGGCCACTGTCCTCCGGACCCCAGAATGGTACAGCCACCAAAAGCTTGATCATGCACACAGGAAGGCTACAGACAATGCCAGTCCATGAAAGCAACCAAGAGGGGGGCTATGTCCTGCAAAGCCACAGGGGTGGAGCTGCCCAAGGCCATGGGAGCCCACCTCTTGCATAAGTGTGACCTGGATGTGAGACATGGAGTCAAAGGAGTTCATTTTGGAGCTTTAAGATTTGACAGGCCTGCTGGACTTTGGACTTGGGGCCTGTAGCCCCTTTGTTTTGGCCAAATTCACCCATTTGGAACAGGTATGTTTACCTGCTCCCTATACCTCCATTGTATCTGGAAAGTAACTAACTTGCTTTTAACTTTATGAGTTCATAGCTGGAAGGGACTTGCCTTGTCTCAGATAAGACTTTGGACTGTGGACTTTTGAGTTAATACTGAAATTAGTTAAGATGTTGAGGGACTGTTGGGAAGGCATAATTTGTTTTCAAATGTGAAGACATGAAATTTGGGAGGAGCTGGGGCAGAATGATATGATTCGGCTGTGTCCCTACCCAAATCTCCTCTTGAATTGTAGTTCCCATAATTCCCACATGTTGTGGGAGGGACCTGGTGGAAGACAATTGAATCATGGGGGCAGTTTCTCCCATACTGTTCCCGTGGTAGTAAATAAGTCTCATGAGATCTGATTGCTTTATAACGGGTTTCCCCTTTTGCTTGGCTTTCATCCTGTCTTGCTGGCTGTCATGTAAGACATGACTTTCACCTTCCACTGTGATTGTGAGGCCTCCCCAGCTACGTGGAACTGTGAATCCATTAAACCTCTTTTTTTTTTTGGAGATGGAGTCTGGCTCTGTCACCCAGGCTGGAGTGCAGTGGCGCGATCTCTGCTCACTGCAAGCTCCACCTCCAAGGTTCACGCCATTCTTCTGCCTCAGCCTCCCAAGTAGCTGGGACTACAGGCACCCACCACCACACCTGGCTAATTTTTTGTATTTTTAATAGAGACAGGATTTCACCATGTTAGCCAGGATGATCTCAATCTCCTGACCTCATGATCTGCCTGCCTCGGCCTCCCAAAGTGCTGGGATTACAGGCGTGAGCCACCGTGTCTGGCCAAACCTTTTTCTTTATAAATTACCCAGTCTCTGGTATGTCTTTATCAGCATCATGAAAACAGACTAATACAAGATCCTTTGGAATTGTCTGAGTTCCTAATTTATTTGGATATTAACTTCTTATCAGATGTATAGTGTGTAAATATTTTCTCCCATTCTTTAGGTTATCTTTTCATTGTATTGGTTGTCTCCTTTGCTGTGCTGAAGCTTTTAGTTTGATTTACTCCCATTTGTCTATTTTTGCTTTTGTTGTCTATACTTTTGGTATCAAATCTGAAAATTTATTACCAATACCAGTATCAAGGAGCTTTTCTCTGATATTTATATCTAAGAGTCTTACAATATTGGTCCTATGTTGAGGTCTTTCATCCATTTTGAGACAATTTTTGTATGTACAGTGAGATAAGGGTTCAGTTTCATTCTTCTGCATGTGGATATCCAGTTTTCCCAACACCATTTAATAAAGAGACTAAATTTTATCATTGTGTACTCTTGGCACCAATGCTAGAGATCAATTGATTGTAAAGTCATGGATTTATTTCTTTCTATGCTCTCTATTCTGTTCCCTTGGCCTACATGTCTGTTTTTATGCCAGTAGCATACTATTTTGATTACTATAGCTTTATAATTTAGTTTGGAATAAGGTAATGTGATGCTTCCACTTTTGTTTTTTCTGCTGAAGGATGTTTTGACTGGGGTCATTTGAGGTTGCATAAAAATTTTACAACTGCTTTTTTCCATTTCTTTGAAAAATGTCATTGAAATTTTGATGGGGTTGCATTATATCTATAGATCGCGCTGAGTAATAGGGATATGTATCTTCTTCAAATTCTTTCATCAGTGTTTTATAGTTTTTGGTATATACAAATTTTACTGTCTTATTTAAATTTCTTCCTAAGTAGTTAATTTTTTGATGGTATTGTAAATGAGATTGTGTTCTTTCAGACGGACTCTCACTCTGTCGCCCAGGCTGGAGTGCAGTGGTGTGATCTTGGCTCACTGCAAGCTCTGCCTCCCGGGTTCACGCCAATCTCCTGCCTCAGCCTCCCGCCACCACGCCCAGCTAATTTTTTCTATTTTTAGTAGAGACAGGGTTTCTCCGTGTTAGCCAAGATGGTCTCGATCTCTTGACCTTGTGATCTGCCCACCTCAGACTCCCAAAGTGCTGGGATTACAGGCGTGAGCCACTGTGCCCGGCCCGAGATTGTTTTGTTAATTTCTTTCTGGGATACTCAACTATTAGTATATAAAAACGTAACAGGTTTTTTTTAATGTTAATTATGTGTTCTGCAAATTTGCTTGTTTCTTAATTTTAACAGTTTTTAATTGGAGCCTTTAGAATTTTCTCTATATGAGATCATGTCATCTTCAAATAGAGACACTTTCACTTCTTTTCCAGTTTGGATGCCTTTTATTTCTTTTTCTTACCTAATTGCTCTGGCTAGGACTTACAGACTTTTTCAGAAACCCCCCAAAATAATCTAAGGGAGTCCATTGTCACTAGACCTGCTTTATAAGAAATTCTAAAGGGAGTTCTTCAAACTGAAATGCAATAAGACTAATTAGCATCACAAAAACATATGTAGTTATAAAAAGTCACCAGTAAAAGTAACTATACAGTCAAATTCAAAATATTCCTAATACTGTAATGATGGAGTATAATCACTTTAACTTTTAAAAGGTTAAAAGACAAAAAATATTACAAATAAATATAACTACAAAATAAACAAAGAAATAAACGCTGACATCAAAAAAACATAAAAACTGGAGGGGAGTAAAGTGTAGGGTTTTGTATATGCTTGAAGTTAAGTTGTTATCAACTTAAAATAGACCATTATAACTATAATCATACATTTCTTAATGTGGATATGTTCTGAATAATGCCTCATTATGCAATTTTGTCATGGTGTGAATATCATAGAGTATACTTACACAAAATTAGATAATACCACCTACTACACACCCAGGCTATATGGTATAACCTATTGCTTCCAAGCTACAAATCTGTACAGCATTGTACTATACTGAATGCTATAGGCAACTATAATACAATGATAAGCATTTGTGTATCCAGATGTATCTAAACATATAAAAGATACAATAAAAATGTTATAACCTTATAGGGCCACCGTTGTATATGTGGCCCATCATTGACCAAAACATCCTTATGTGGCACATGAGAGCATATGATGTTTTATGGAAGCCTCAGGATAATCACAAAGACAAAACATGTAATAGTTACACAAATGAGAATTTTACCATATGTTTAAAAAAGAATTAATACAAAGACACAGAAAAGAATCAAAGTATACCACTACAGAAAATAATCAAAATAATCAAATCATGCACAGCAAGAGAGAAATAAAAGAACAAAGAAACTGCAAAATGCCTATCAATAGTTACTTTAAATGTCAGTGGACCAAATTAGAAAAGACACAGAGTGGCTGAATGGACAGTAAAACAATAACCAAATATATGCCACCTATAAGAGATTCACTTCACCTTTAGAGACACACATAGACTGAAAGGAAAGACAGGGAACAAAAAAAAAGAAAGAGTAGCTATTCTTACAACAAACAAAATAGACTTTAAGTCAAAAACTGTAACAAGAGGGAAAGAAAGTCATTATAGAATGATACAAGGGTCAATTCATCAAGAGGATATAATTACTACAAATATATATTCTCCCAACATTGGAACACCTAATTGTATAAAGCAAATATTAACAAATCTGAAGAGAGAAGTGACAACAATAATACAATAACAGTTGGGGACTTCCATAACCCACTTTCAACAATGGATTGATCACTCAGACAGATAATCAATAAGGAAACAGATGACTTGAACTACACTATAGATCAAATGGACCAGACATATACAGGACATTACTTTCCAAAACAGCAAAATACACATTATTCTTGAGCATACACAGTACATTCTCCTACACAGGTCATATATTGGGCCAGAAAACAAGTCTTAGCAAATTTAAGAAGATTGAAATCTTATCAAGTATTCTTTTTGACCACAGTGGCATGAAACTGAAAATTAAAAACAGAAGAAAACTTAGAAAAGTGACAAATATGTGGAAATCAACCAACACACTCCTGAACAACCAATAGATCAAAGAAAACATCAAAAAAGAAATAAAATATCTTGAGACAAACTAAAATGAAAGCACAACATACTAAAACTTATGAGATGAAGCAAAAGCAATTCTAACAGGGAAGTTTATACAGGTTAAGTGCTAAATGAAGAAAAAAGATCTCAAATAAACAATAAACCTCAAAGAAATAGAAAAGAAAAAAAAAATGAAGCCCAAAATTAGAAGAAGGAAGGAAATAACAAAGATGATAGCAGAAGTAAATGAAATACACTAGAAAAACAATAGAAAAGATCAATGAAACAAAAAGCTGATTTTTTGAAAACATAGGCCGGGCGCGGTGGCTCACGCCTGTAATCCCAGCACTTTGGGAGGCCGAGGCGGGCGGATCACGAGGTCAGGAGATCGAGACCATCCCGGCTAAAACGGTGAAACCCCGTCTCTACTAAAAAATACAAAAAATTAGCCGGGCGTAGTGGCGGGCGCCTGTAGTCCCAGCTACTTGGGAGGCTGAGGCAGGAGAATGGCGTGAACCCGGGAGGCGGAGCTTGCAGTGAGCCGAGATCCCGCCACTGCACTCCAGCCTGGGCGACAGAGCGAGACTCCGTCTCAAAAAAAAAAAAAAAAAAAAAAACATAATGGCTGGGCGCGGTGGCTCATGCCTGTAATCCCAGCACTTTGGGAGGCGGGCAGATCACGAGGTCAGAGATCAAGACCATCCTGGCTAACATGGTGAAACCCCGCCTCTACTAAATATACAAAAAATTAGCAGAGCCGGGCAGCGTGCGCCTGTAGTCCCAGCTACTTGGGAGGCTGAGGCAGGGGAATGGCATGAACCCAGGAGGCAGAGCTTGCAGTGAGCGGAGATTGCGCCACTGCACTACAGCCTGGGAGACAGAGCCAGACTGAGTCTCAAAAAAATAAAATAAAATAAAATAAAAATAATAAAAATTGACCAACCTTTCACTAGGCTAAGAAAAAAGAGAGAAGCCTCAAATAAATAAAATTAGAACAAAAAAGCAGATATTAAAATTGGTACCATAGAAACACAAAGGATAATAACAGTCTAAACAACTATGTGTCAACAAATTGTTTAACTTAGAAGAAATAGAGAAATTTCTAGAAACATACATCCCCTAAGATTGAAACATGAAGAAATAGAAAATCAACACAAATAATGAGTAAAAATAATGAGTCAGTGGTCAAAAAGCTCCTGAAAAAGGAAAATCCAAGACCAGATAGCTTAGTGGAGAAGTCTAGCAAATGTTTAAAGAAGAATTAGTACCATTTCTTCACAAACTCTTCCAAAAGTTGAAGAGGAGGGAATACAAACATTTTTTATGAGGCCAGCATTACCCTGATAACAAAGACAGAAAAGGATACTACAAGGTTGACAGATATTTTTAAGGTGCAAATGATGTATTGTTGGAATTGAAAATACAGGATTTGTTTGTACAAAGATTTGTGTGTGGATAGGTGGATGCGTACTGGTGTGTGCATGCATACATATACAAGCTTACCTTGTTTTATTGCACTTCACTTTATTATGCTTCTCGGATATTGCATTTTTTACAGGTTGAAGGTTTATGGCAACCCTGCATCAAGCAAGTCTACCAGTGCCACTTTTCTGGTAGCATGTGCTTATTTTGTATCTCTGTGTTACATTTTTGTAATTCTTGCAATATTTCAAATGTTTTGTTATTATTATATCTGTTACGGTAATCTGTGATCAGTGATTATTAATATTACTATTGTCATTGTTTTGGGGCATCACAAACCATGCTCCAAAAGACAATGAGCCTAATTGATACATATGTGTGTCTGAATGGTTCCATTGATCTGCCCTTCCTCCATCCCCCCAACTCCTCAGGTCTCCCTGTTTTCTGAGACACAGGAATATTGAAATTAGGCCAATTAATAACTCTACAAAGGCCTCTATGTGTTCAAGTGAAAGTAAGAGTCACACATCTCTTATTTAAATCAAAAGTGAGAAATGATTAAGGTGAGTGAGGAAGGCATGTTAAAAGCTGAAACAGGCCAAAAACTAGGCATCCTGCACCTAACAGCCAAACTGTGCATGAAAAGAAAAAGTTCTTGAAGGAAATTAAAAGTATTACTCCAATGAACACATGAGTGGTATGAAAGTGAAAGAGACTTATCGCTGATATGGAGAAGGTTTGAGTGGTTTGGATAGAAGATCAAACCAACCACAACATTTCCTTAAGCCAAACCCTAATCGAGAGCAAGGACCTAATTCTTCTTAATTCTCTGAAGGCTGAGAGAGGTTGGGAAGCCACAGAAAAAAAGTTTGAAGCTAGCAGAGATTGGTTCATGAGGTTTAAGGAAAGAAGTCTTCTCCATAAGATAAAAGTGCAAGGAAAAGCAGCAAGTGCTGATGTAGAAGCTGCAGCAAGTCATCCATAAGATCAGCTAAGAGAAGCAACAAAGGTGGCTACACTAAACAAAGGTTTTTACTGCAGATAAAACAGCCTTATATTGGAAGAGGATGTCATCCAGGACTTTTACAGCCAGGTAGCAAAATAAATGCCTGACTTCAATGCTTCAAAGAACAGGATGACTCTTTTGTTAGGGGCTTAACCTGAAGCCAAAGCTCATCTACCATTCTGAAAATTCTAGGGCCCTTAAGAACTATGCTACATCTACTCTGCCTGTGCTCTATAAATGGGACAAAGCCTGAATGACATCACATCTGTTACGACATGAATATTTTAAGCTCACACCTGAGAACTACTGCTTTAAAAAAAGATCTCTTTCAAAATATTATTGTTCATTGACAATTTACCTGGTCACCCAAGAGCTCTGATGGAGAACTACAAGAAAATTAAAGCTGTTTGCATGCCTGCTAATACAACATCCATTCTGCAGCCCATGGATCAATGAGTAATTTAGACTTTCAAGGCTGATTATCTGAGAAATACATTTCATAAGGCTGTAGCCACCATGTATAGTAGTTCCTTCGATAGATCTGGGCAAAGTAAGTTGAAAACCTTCTAGAAAGGTTTCACCATTCTAGAAGCATTTGCAATTCATGGGAGGAGGTTAAAATTAAGAACATTTGTGATTCATGGGAGGAGGTCAAAATATCAACATTAAAAGAAATTTGGAAGAAGTTGATTCCAATCCTCATGGATGACTTTGAGGGTTCAAGACTTCAGTGCAAGAAGTAACTGCAGATGTGGTGGAAATAGCAAGAGAACTAAGATTAAAAGATGTGAAGAGAACTTAAGATGTGGCTGAATTGCTGAAATCTCATGACAAAATTTTAACAAATGAGAACTTGGATGAGCAAAGAAAGTGGTTTCTTGAGATGGAAACTACTCCAGGTGTAGATGCTGTGAATCTTGTTGAAATGACAACAGAGTATTTAGAAAATTGCATAAACTTAGTGGATAAAGCAGTGGTAGGGTTTGAGAGGATTGTCTCCGATTTGAAGGAAGCTCTACTGTGGGTAAAATGCTATCAAACAGCATTGCATGCTACAGAGGAATCTTGAAAGAAATAGTCAACTGATGTAGCAAACTTCATTGTTGTCTTATTTTAAGAAATTGCCACAGCCACCTCACCTCCAGCAGCTTCCACCATGATGAGTCAGCAGCCACAACACTGAGGCAAGGCCACTGACCAGCAAAAAGATCATGATGTTGAAGACTCAGGTGATCGATAGCATTTTTAAACAGTAAAATAATTTTTGACTAAGGTATGTACATTGACTTTTTTAGACATAATGGTATTGCCCACTTAATAGACTACAGTATAGTATAGACCTAACTTTTATATGCACTGAGAAACCAAAAATTCTGTGTGATTTGCCTTATTGCCATATTTGTTTTATTGCAGAACTGGCCACCAGAATTTTCCCTTCCCCTAGAACGCCCTTCACCCAAGCCACCTGCATTTTCCCCTCACCCATCATACCCACCCCCATTGTCTGGCCTGCCCTCCACCTCCTCCAAAAGCCTTCATTGCTCCCCCACTGCTGGACTGCATTCTGACTCCGTCTCAATGTGACTCAATGGCACTTCCATTGGGCACTGCCCTAAAGAGCTCATCTCCACAGTGGCCTGAAACCAAACCCACAGTATCTCTGAGGTATGCCTATGTAGCAGTCCCATAAGTTATCGTGCACTTTAAGCATTACCAAGTCCAGAACTGTGAATGCTATACATTTACAGAAATACCACTTGAAGGTTTAACTACTTATAACTGTTTCATAATTAGAATTACAAATTTTGAATATTAATTATTTTAATTGGGGGGAGGGGCCAAGTTGGTTGAGTAGAAACAGCTCTACTCTGCAGCCCCCACTGAGACAAACATAAACAGCGAGTGAATTCTGCATTTCTAACTGAGGTATCCAGATTCCCTCATTGGGACTGACTAGGCAGTTGGTGTGACCCATGGAGAGCAAGGAAAAGCAGAGTTGGGCGACAGTTCACCCAAGAGCTACACAGGGCAAAGAGACCTCCCTCCTCCAGCCAAGGGAGGCAGTGAGGGATTGTGCTACCCAACCGGGGAACTGTGCTTTACCCACAGATTTTTGCAAACCCCAGAACAGGTAATCCCTTTGTGAGTCCACACCACCAGGGCCTTAGGTCCCAAGCACAAAGCTGTGCAGACCCATAGCAGGGGCTCCAGCTGGCAGCCACTTGGGCAGTTACTGAGCTGTAGGAGTTTCTGCGTACTCTGGTGGCTTGCAGAAATCCAGTGAAGCAGGAGATCCATCAACTCCCATGAGAAGAGGGCTGAAGCCAGGGAGCCAAGCAGACCCACTCCCACAGAACCCCACAAGCTAAGACCCACTGGCATGGAATCCCCACTGGCTAGCACAGCACCTGGAGTCTGCCTAAGAAGACCAAGTTCCTGGGGGGAAGGGTGACTGCCATTACTGCGGGTCTAGCCGGTGGTTTTCCCCCACCAGTGCTAGGGAGACTGGGTGGTTTGCGCTGGGCAGAATTCCCACAGTGCAGTACAGAGGCTGTGGCAGATATACCATTATTGTATATCCAAAGGAATATAAATCATTCTATTACAAAGATACATGCACGTGTATGTTTATTGCAGCACTGTTCCCAATAGCAAAGACATGGAATCAACCCAATGCCCACCAATGATAGACTGGATAAATAAAATGTGGTACATATACACCATGGAATACTATGCAGCCATAAAAAGGAATGAGATCAAGTCCTTTGCGGGGACATGGATGAAGCTGGAAGCCATTATCCTCAGCAAACTAACACAGGAACAGAAAACCAAATACCACATGTTCTCACTTACAAGTGGGAGCCGAACAATGAGAACATATGGACACTGGGAGGGAAACAACACACCCTGGCACCTGTCGAGGGAGGGCCGGTGGTAGGGAGAGCATCAGGAAAAATAGCTAATGCATGCTGGGTTTAATACCTAAGTGATGGGTTGATAGGTGCAGCAAATCACCATGGTACATATTTGCCTATGTAAGAAAACTGCATGTCCTGCACATGTATCCCGAAAGTTAAAATAAAATAAATACATAAGTACATAAATAAAATTTTAAAAGACAAAAAAAAATCTTAATTGTATGTGGGTAGTTCCCTTTGATTGAAAGTGAGATAGAAATAATTTTTTAAAACTTACTATTCAAAATTTGCAAAACTAAATAAGAGTAAAAGAAATTTACATTTTGTCCCTGGATTGATACAAGACAAAAACATAGTGTGGAAAAGCTGGAGTTGAGGATGAACGAGATTCTGAGAATAAAAATCCCTGGTACATAGCCAAAATTTCAGAACTTCAGATTTTCAAGGGCTATAAAATAGGTAACCTCAAGCCACCGTCTCCAACAGATAAAAGGAACCAGGTAATATCTATATTCCAGGGAGAAAGAATAGAAAATTGGCTATCACTGACAAAACTTAGTGGGAAGGAGGGATCTAGAAGGTGGGATGGTGGAGGGATCCCCAGCTTGGGGGGTGGGGAGGGGCTGTGCCTCAGTCTCCCCCTCCCCTGCCCCTCTCCCTCCCTCTCCCCCTCCTGCTGCACCTCCCCCTCCCTCTGCGCCTCCCCCTCCCACTGCCCCTCCCCAACAAAGGAGCCCTTTGTGACATCAAGGCCCCACCTCTGTGACGCAGGCCTGGGCCCCAGTCCCTAGTCCCCACGGGGATGCCCAGAGCTCAGTTGCTTGAAAGCAACGCGCCTATTCACATGGAGAATCTTCCCTTTCCTTTAAAATTACTTAGTGCCTCATCGCTAAACGCCCCCAGTTCCACACCATGGGTGTTGGATATCTTCCTCACTTTGGTGTTTGCCCTGGGGTTCTTCT
Source organism: Homo sapiens (assembly GCF_000001405.40). Taxonomy (NCBI): domain Eukaryota; kingdom Metazoa; phylum Chordata; class Mammalia; order Primates; family Hominidae; genus Homo; species Homo sapiens. The sequence goes on from NC_000009.12 coordinate 60,914,554, forward strand.
TCCTATTACTCCCCTACTTATCTTACTTCCGTTGTGATGACCCACCCTCACCATCGCCTGGGAAGAGAAAGGTAAGGAACCCTCAGTCCCAACCCACAGAGCTTGATTCTCTCCTTTCTTTTTATTATTAGTTCCACTTTTCCAAATCCAGTGGAGAGCCTTCTATGATGGGAAGTCTCAGAAGAGACCAGAACATCATCCTTCCAGGGAGAGGCAGGGCAGCCAGGGGTTGGTAGGGGTAGATAGTGTACTGGGATTTCCATCCCAAGCTCTCAGTCCATCTGTGGGGGAGCACAGGAGGCATCAAGGCAAAATCAAACCAGTGGACTCAGCACCAGTACCAGTCATGAGACTGGGGAGGTCTCTGTCCGAGACCAGGCCCTGAGCCCTGGCTCATCAGCCCCTTTCTGGTGCAGGTGGCTCAGGGCCCAGCCTCCCCTGTGTGGGGTGATCTGGGGCCTGTGCTGGGCCCCTGAGGGCCTCCCACCAGGGCCTGGTGTCTCCTCTGGTCTTCTGGGAAGCAGAATCCTACCTGATAGCTCAGCAGTGCCTGCGGGCCTGAACTTGGGTGTTCCTGGAGCAGAGGAACAGGGACTGAAGGTGTCCGTGGTGGACCTCATATTGAAAATCCCTCTGTGTGTGTGTGTGTGTGTGTGTGTGTGTGTGTGTGTATTTTTATTTTATTTGTGTGTGTTATTTTTATTTTATTTTATTTTATTTTATTTTATTTTATTTTATTTTATTTTTTGAGATGGAGTCTCGCTCTGTGGTGCAGGTTGCAGTGAAATGGAGTGATATCGGCTCACTGCAACCTCTGCTTCCTGAGTTCAAGCGATTCTCCTGTCTTAGAGTCCTGAATAGCTGGGGATTACAGGCGCCCACCACCATGCCTGCCTAATTTTTGTATTTTTAGTAGACACGGGGTTTCACCATGGCCAGGCTGGTCTCAAACTCCTGACCTCAGGTGATCAACCCACCTTGGCCTCCCAAAGTGCTTGGATTATAGGCGTGAGCTACCACGCCCAGCCCCCTCTTGCTGTTTTTCTAAGAAGAAAAGCAGTTTATCATCCATTTAAACAAGAGTGGGAGGAAGCACACAGAGCTCCCTGAGCAAGACAGAGAGAGCCATGCGGTTCCTGAGTGCAGCATGCTGCGGCTGGGCTGGGGCAGAGAGGGAGAGCCGGTCCTAGCTTCTCACCCTTTCTTGTCTCCCATTGTCATCTTGTCTCTCCGCGTCATCTTGTCTCCGTACGTCATCGTGTCTCCCAGTGTCCAGTAGGGCGGAGGCGGAGGCCCAGAGGCAGGATGAAAAACCACAGTCTGAGAGGTAAGGCTCTGCCAGAGCACACTAGGGTTAATTTGATCTCATCTGTCCCGAAGGGAACTGACTCTGAAGAAGTCAGTTGAAGAAGCCTGAGGTGGGGGCTCCTAGGAAGGAAATCAGAACCCCGGGTCCTTCTCAGATTCCATGCGGGAATGAAGCCATGGTGGGCCAGGGACTGGGCGTTACCCAGCAGGGGGCAGTGTGTGTGTCCTGGGGAGACCAATGCCTGCCTGGATGCGGAGGGGGGTGAGGGGGCCTCCCGCTCCCTGGGAACAGCTGTCCAACTCTGCTAAGGCTGATTCCTCTTTGAGACCACCTCAGTCCTTTCTCCCCACAGGGCAGTTGTGAGGACTGTGGGGGTGGGGGGTCCGTGTGTGGAAGCCCTTTGTGAATGAAAAAGCCCTGTCCTCCATGCCTTGCTATTAACGTCGGGGTCATGTGGCTTTGGACACAGATGGGTGGGGTCCAGGGTCTAATTCCCCATGGTCCTCCCTAAAGAAACAGCCACTCAGCCTCCTGTGAGAACCCAGGCCCCTCCCTCACTGCCCTAACCCAGTCTCCTGATTTCCAGCTGGTAGAGAGTGCCGGAGAGGCCTGGAGGAGACTTCGGACCTGCTTTCACAACTGCAGAGGTGAGGCACTTCCCCTTCCCTGCATCCTTCCTACCAGGGCTGGGACGTGACCCCAGGGCCACAGGCAGCCTGGAGCTGACCTGGGATGGGGAGACCAGGGGGACAGAGGATGGGAGTAAAACCCTGGGGCGAGGGGTAGCAGGAGAATTGGGCAATCAGGGTGTGGGGTGGTGGAGGGGCTGTGGCCCGAGCACCCACTCTGCCCTCCGGCCCCACCGGCTCCTGGCTGCAGCTCGTGCCTCCTGTCTCCTGCAGCCTCCTGGGGCCACACCTTGACAAAGGTGACTTTGGTCAGCTCTCCGGTCCAGACCCCCCAGGTGAGGTGGGCGAAAGAGCACCTGATGGAGCCTCCCAGTCCTCTCATGAGCCTATGGAAGATGCTGCTCCCATTCTCTCCCCGTTAGCTTCCCCGGATCCTCAAGCCAAGCATCCTCAGGATCTGGCCTCCACCCCATCACCAGGCCCAATGACCACCTCAGTCTCCTCCCTAAGTGCCTCCCAGCCACCAGAACCTTCCCTTCCCCTAGAACACCCCTCACCCGAGCCACCTGCACTTTTCCCTCACCCACCACACACCCCTGATCCTCTGGCCTGCTCTCTGCCTCCTCCAAAAGGCTTCACTGCTCCTCCCCTGCGGGACTCCACACTGATAACTCCATCTCACTGTGACTCAGTGGCATTTCCACTGGGCACCGTCCCTCAAAGCTTGTCTCCACATGAGGATTTGGTGGCTTCTGTCCCAGCCATCTCAGGCCTTGGTGGCTCAAACAGTCATGTTTCTGCCTCCTCCCGGTGGCAGGAGACTGCCAGAACCTCGTGCGCCTTTAACTCATCAGTCCAGCAAGATCATCTTTCCCGCCACCCACCAGAGACCTGTCAGATGGAAGCTGGTAGCCTGTTTTTGCTCAGCTCTGATGGCCAGAATGTCGTGGGGATACAAGTCACAGAAACAGCCAAGGTCAACATTTGGGAAGAAAAAGAAAATGTTGGATCATTTACAAATCGAATGACCCCAGAAAAGCACTTAAATTCTTTGCGGAATTTGGCTAAATCATTGGATGCTGAGCAGGACACCACAAACCCAAAACCCTTCTGGAACATGGGAGAGAACTCGAAACAGCTGCCCGGACCTCAGAAGCTCTCAGATCCTAGGCTCTGGCAGGAAAGTTTTTGGAAGAATTATAGCCAGCTTTTCTGGGGCCTCCCCTCTCTGCACAGCGAGTCCCTGGTGGCTAACGCCTGGGTAACTGACAGGTCTTATACTTTACAGTCTCCTCCTTTCTTGTTCAATGAAATGTCCAATGTCTGCCCAATTCAAAGGGAGACTACAATGTCCCCACTGCTTTTCCAGGCCCAGCCCCTGTCCCATCTGGGGCCCGAGTGCCAACCCTTTATTTCATCCACACCCCAATTCCGGCCCACACCTATGGCTCAGGCCGAGGCTCAGGCCCATCTTCAATCTTCTTTCCCAGTCCTATCTCCTGCTTTTCCATCCCTGATTCAGAACACTGGAGTAGCTTGCCCTGCATCGCAGAATAAAGTGCAAGCTCTCTCCCTACCTGAAACTCAGCACCCTGAATGGCCTTTGTTGAGGAGACAACTAGAAGGTAGGTTGGCTTTACCCTCTAGGGTCCAAAAATCTCAGGACGTCTTTAGTGTCTCCACTCCTAACCTTCCCCAGGAAAGTTTGACATCCATTCTGCCTGAGAACTTTCCAGTCAGTCCTGAACTCCGGAGACAACTGGAGCAACACATAAAAAAGTGGATCATCCAACACTGGGGCAACCTGGGAAGGATCCAAGAGTCTCTGGATCTGATGCAGCTTCGGGATGAATCACCAGGGACAAGTCAGGCCAAGGGCAAACCCAGTCCCTGGCAGTCCTCCATGTCCACAGGTGAAGGCAGCAAGGAGGCACAGAAGGTGAAGTTCCAGCTAGAGAGGGACCCGTGCCCACATCTGGGGCAAATTCTGGGTGAGACCCCACAAAATCTATCCAGGGATATGAAAAGCTTCCCACGGAAGGTTCTGGGGGTGACTTCTGAGGAGTTGGAAAGGAACTTGAGGAAGCCCTTGAGGAGTGACTCGGGAAGTGATTTATTAAGATGCACAGAGAGGACTCATATAGAAAACATCCTGAAAGCCCACATGGGCAGGAACTTGGGCCAGACCAACGAGGGCTTGATCCCCGTGTGTGTGCGTCGATCCTGGCTTGCTGTCAACCAGGCTCTTCCCGTGTCCAACACCCATGTGAAAACCAGCAATCTAGCAGCCCCGAAAAGTGGGAAAGCCTGTGTGAACACAGCCCAGGTGCTTTCCTTCCTCGAGCCGTGTACTCAGCAGGGGTTGGGAGCCCATATTGTGAGGTTTTGGGCCAAACACAGGTGGGGTCTACCCCTCAGGGTCCTCAAGCCCATTCAGTGCTTTAAACTGGAAAAGGTTTCATCCTTGTCCCTTACACAGCTTGCTGGTCCCTCCTCAGCCACCTGTGAATCTGGGGCTGGCTCAGAAGTTGAGGTGGACATGTTCCTTAGAAAGCCACCAATGGCAAGTCTGAGAAAGCAGGTGCTGACCAAAGCATCTGATCACATGCCAGAGAGTCTTCTGGCCTCCTCACCTGCATGGAAGCAGTTCCAGAGGGCACCGCGAGGAATCCCATCTTGGAATGATCATGAACCCTTGAAGCCTCCTCCAGCTGGACAGGAGGGCAGGTGGCCATCTAAGCCCCTCACGTACAGCCTCACAGGCAGCATCCAGCAGAGCAGGAGCTTAGGAGCCCAATCTTCAAAGGCTGGAGAGACAAGGGAGGCAGTGCCACAATGCAGAGTCCCCTTGGAAACCTGTATGCTGGCAAACCTCCAAGCCACAAGTGAGGATGTGCATGGTTTCGAGGCTCCAGGGACCAGCAAAAGCTCTCTACACCCTAGAGTGTCTGTCTCCCAAGATCCAAGAAAGCTGTGTCTTATGGAGGAGGTTGTTAATGAATTTGAGCCTGGAATGGCCACAAAGTCAGAGACCCAGCCTCAAGTTTGTGCCGCTGTTGTGCTCCTTCCAGATGGGCAAGCATCTGTTGTGCCCCACGCTTCAGAGAATTTGGTTTCTCAAGTGCCCCAGGGCCATCTCCAGAGCATGCCTACTGGGAACATGCGGGCTTCCCAGGAGCTACATGACCTCATGGCAGCCAGAAGGAGCAAACTGGTGCACGAGGAGCCCAGAAACCCAAACTGTCAAGGCTCATGCAAGAGCCAAAGGCCAATGTTTCCCCCTATTCACAAGAGTGAGAAGTCTAGGAAACCCAACTTAGAAAAACATGAAGAAAGGCTTGAAGGATTGAGGACTCCTCAACTTACCCCAGTCAGGAAAACAGAAGACACCCATCAGGATGAAGGCGTCCAGCTACTGCCATCAAAGAAACAGCCTCCTTCAGTAAGCCCCTTTGGAGAAAACATCAAGCAAATTTTTCAGTGGATTTTTTCAAAGAAAAAAAGCAAGCCAGCACCAGTCACTGCTGAGAGCCAAAAAACAGTAAAAAACAGATCACGTGTGTACAGCAGCAGTGCTGAAGCTCAGGGTCTCATGACGGCAGTTGGACAAATGCTGGACGAGAAAATGTCACTTTGCCATGCGCGCCATGCCTCGAAGGTAAATCAGCACAAACAGAAGTTTCAAGCCCCAGTCTGTGGGTTTCCCTGCAACCACAGGCACCTCTTCTACTCAGAACACGGCAGAATACTGAGCTATGCAGCCAGCAGTCAACAAGCCACTCTCAAGAGCCAGGGTTGTCCCAACAGAGACAGACAAATCAGAAATCAACAGCCCTTGAAAAGTGTGCGGTGCAACAATGAGCAATGGGGCCTGCGACATCCCCAAATCTTGCACCCCAAGAAAGCTGTATCCCCAGTCAGTCCCCCTCAGCACTGGCCGAAGACATCCGGTGCCTCTAGCCACCATCACCACTGTCCAAGGCACTGTCTTCTTTGGGAAGGTATCTGATTTGGTCAGTCACAAATTCTTTTTTAGCCTTCCCTGGAGAAAAACAAGTCCCCAAGAAAAAATTCACTCTATGTAGAGAAAAAATATTTTCTCTCATGTTAGTACATGCAGAACATTTAATATTCCACAATATATATGGTTTTTTATTCATAAGAGGGTGATGGCTTTTATTTGTGCCATGCTTGGTGTGGGCTTGGTTTCCAGAAGCGACAGGACATGGAGGGATGTTGACAGTGGTGCTGTAAGCCCACCTTCATCCTGAGTTCCTTCACTGAACCTTATGTTTCCGTAATACCGTCTTTACACAAACAACAAAAAATTCTAAAAACAAGATGAGAAAAACCTATGAAGGTCCCACTCTGAAATAAGGTTCAACCCATCTTTCCACTACTTACTCTACCTCAAACTTCATGCAGCTGTAGGGAGAAGGTTTGCAGAGATGTCACGGGACTGAACATCTCCATGCAGGCTCCAGGAAGTGCCACAGCCGAGTACCTTCATGTGTCACAAAATAGTGGAAGTTTGGGTGGGAGAGTGCTGGGCCCTGAGTTTAGAAGTGGGAGAAGTCTTGACCCTGGGTATCCTGGTGGAGAATAGATAACGTCTGCCCCTGGGAAGCCCCTTCTCTCCCTGACAAAGGCTGGGATGGAGATGGGCTCTCTTAGCTCAGCCAACATGCAAAGCAGAGAGTCCCCATCCCACTGCCTCTCCCTTTCTCGCACTCTGGAGTGGCAGTGGGGACAGACCTTCCAGCTCTGTGCATGTGTAGGTGGGGGCTAGGGGGTCAGGGGGGCAGCCTTCATGGAGGTTGCTGAGGGCCGTGAACTCCCCTGCCCCAGATGAGTGAATGACCCTGCTCCTGGGTCACCGGCCTTTGTCTATCTCACCTACATGTCTCTCAGCTTCAGTGAAGTAGTTCTGGGTGAATGGAGTAGGGTATGCCTGTGTGTGCAGAGGCTTCTGATGGTGGGACTCTGTAGAGCTACAGGGGATGCAGACAGAGAATTGAAAAGGAGGCAAAGTGGCGTGTGTGAGGGAGCCATCAGTGGTGCCGTGAGCCAGGAGACTCTGACATTCCAACCCCTTAGACAGGCCTAGAGGGGCCTAGTGTCTCATCCTGGCCACACCCCAGGGTCTGTCTCTGCTCCAGCTCCCAGATCACAGACCCCTAGAAAAACCACATTTACCCCCAACACGGAGGGCCATATTAGTGAGAAGGCAAAGTGAATAAGGAAGATGAATTTCTTAACATCTTCGATAAGCTTGCACATAATAATCTATTGAACTTTTTTTTTTTTTTGAGACAGAGTTTCACTGTTTTGCCCAGGCTGGAGGGAAGTAGTGCAATCTTGGCTCACTGCAAACTCCGGCCCCTGGGTTCAAGTGATTCTTCTGCCTCAGCCTCCCAAGTGGCTGAGATGATAGGCACCCACCACCATGCCCGACTAATTTTTATATTTTTAGTAGAGACGGGGTTTTGCTATGTTGGCCAGGCTGGCCTCGAACTCCTCGCCTCAGGTGATCTACCGGCCTCAGCCTCCCAAAGAGCTAGGATTACAGGCATGAGCCATGGTGCCTGGCCTACCTATTGAATTTTTTAAAGGATGTGTTGACAATAGGTGGAAAAGCAAGGACTAGAGAACCCCAGGCATGAGTCGAAGTCTGGTGACCTTTAATATACACGTAGCCCCAGGACTGCTCCCTGGGGAAAGGTGGCGACTTACAAGGGCCCAGCAGCTGAGCTGGGGTCACACAGCAAATCTCCCCTGGCTCCTGACATCCTTGCTTGTTCCAGAGACCAGCAAGGGAAGATGCAGGCAGGCAGGATTTGAACATACAAGGGAGCTGGAAGTGACCTGTCCAGAATGGGCAGGGTATGGGCAGGACAGGAGCCATCCCTGCTGTCTCCCTCTGCTTTCAGCACAGCTTTCCTCCTCTCTGGGCCCTGTCCATATGGGAAAGCAGGAGGTCTCCACAAATCATGGACAGGAGGAGCCAGGTCTCTAGAGGGAGTTTTCTCTGCCTTGTGCCACATACAGGCGTGCAAGAGGCCCACTTCCGGGGGCCTCATTTCAATGGTGGAGAGGCCAGTGCCAGGCAGTGCCACTGATCTAGATGACAATGGAAATGGCCCTGCCCCCAACATGTGGGACTGGCCGGCACTGGGGTGCAGGGGGCAGTGGGCACAGTCCCCAGCCTGTGGCTTCTCCTGGGGCCAGGTCCTCTCTGGGGCCCGGATAACTGAAGCAGCCTCCAAGGTGGGCCCAGCGGTGACAGCGGAGCCAGGATCAGCAGGAGGAGCTGGGACCTGGAGCAGAGAGCAGCCCCGGTCCTCCGGGAGCTCAGGAGAGTGTGGCACAGAGCTGGGACCCTGACCACTGAGGATGGGCCATGCCTGGCTGCTGCTGGGTTCCCTCAGGAAACCAAGACGCGAGTTCTGGGATGTGGAGGAGCTGGACGTGGAGCCCATGGCTCAGGCCAGGAGAAGCGCCACAGGCAACACTGAGAGACCAGCAAGAACACAGGAAACAACAACCCCTTAGCCCTTCTGCAGCTCAGTCTCCCATGACATGCAGCGAGGCCAGCAATGGAGAGACCCACGGAGACCTCCCACAGGAACCTCACAGAGATATCTCGTACAGAGTGAGCACACGGGGACCTCTCACTGCCACAGAGAGAGACACACTGCAGCCTCCACAGAGACCCCACGGAGCTCTCAGAGTCCTCATGGTGCCCCACAGAGACCTAGCACAGAGATTCCCAGAGTCCTCACCCAGAGAACCCCACAGAGGCCACGCTGAGAGACTTCACTCAGTCCCACAGAGACCTCCCGCAAATGTCAGAGACCTTCCATGGTTCTCACAGGGAGATCTCACACAGAGACCCCACAAAGACCTCAGAGACTTCACACAGAGTCATAAAACAGGGACCTCATGCAGAGACTCATGCAGCTCACTGCAACCTCCGGCCTCCAGCCCCAGAAATGGCACACGGCACCCCCCACTGCCTCACAGAGACCTCTCTCAGAGTCCTCCTCACACAGAGACCTTGCCTGGAGACCTCCCACTCTCCACAGAGACCTTGTATAGATTCCTCACACAGGCCTCAGGTTGCTCCACACTCATTGCCCAGAAACCTCTCACATAGAATTCCCTCAAACATTCCACACAGAGATTCTGTAGGGCTTTCACAGGGTCCTCACACAGGGTCCTCACACAGGGACTTCATATAGTCCATGGTCCCTCACACAGAGACCTAGCACGGAGATTTCACACAGGGACTTCCCACAGAGACCCCACAGAGACCTCTGGAAGATACCTCCCACACAGACCTTCTGCAAAGGCCTCATACAGAGGCCTCACAAGAGGCAATGGAGCCCTCTTGCTGCCCCATGGAGTCCTCCCACAGAGACCTCATGTGGCCTCACAGGCCTCGTACAGAAACTGACTCGGATTTCTTAGAGACTTTCCACACAGAACTCACGCAGAAACCTCAAACTGAGGCTCCACAGAGACCTCACTCAGAGTTCTCACCAGGAGCCTGGCACTGAGGCCTCCCATGCAGCGCTCACACAGCGTCCTCACCATAGGTGAGATGCCCCTCACAGATACTCCTCAGAGATCTGGCCCAGAGGCTTCACAGAGACCTCACATCCATCCATTCTTTAGGTGCCTGAGCAGCCACCTGTTGACACATCCTTCTCAGTGGATATAAAACCACTCAGCACAGTAGCAGCACAGCCGGGATATCAGTTGCACTCCCCAGGAACCCTGGGACACCCAGATACTGTCAGCATTGCAGTGAAGGCGGTTTTCTGCTTGGGGACATCCTCACACTTTTTTTTTTTTTTTTGTAATAGCGCTGCCTCTGAAAAGAATTATGGATTCCACAGGCAGACCTGCAAAATTCTTTCTTCCACAGGTTTCCATTAGCTTGAATTCTGACCCACAATTTAGAAAATTCATTTTTTTAAATTATTTTTTGAGATGGAGTCTTGCTCTGTCGCCCAGGCTGGAGTCCAGTGGGATAATCTTGGCTCACTGCAACCTCCGCCTCTGGAGTTCAAGAGATTCTCCTGCTTCAGCCTCCTGAGTAGCTGGGATTATAGGTGTGCACTACCATGCTCGGCTAATTTTTGTATTTTTAGTAGAGACAGGGTTTCACCATGTTGGCCAGCTGGACTCGAACTCCTGACCTCAGGTGATCCACCCGCCTCGGCCTCCCAAAGTGCTGAGATTATAGGCATGAGCCACTGTGCCCAACCAAAAATTTTTAAGTGAAGAAAATGTTACCAACCTTCAATGAAAGAAAATATCTTATTTGTTCAGTTTGTTATTATCCAGCCAAATTACATCAATGTCATATATTTTTTAAAGTTTGGGGGAGACAAGACTTGAATTTGAGATGCCTGACTTCTGTACTTTGAAAATATGATAAAAACCTCTAGAAAATGAACCCCAGAAATGAAACAAACCAGCAAAGAGGCATCTGGACTCACACTGGTCTCCCAGGGGACTGTGCAACTAGCACATAATTTCATACAGAACAGCTTGGATCACGTTTGCAGAGTTCATTTTATTTTTAGCAAGCTAATAATCATGCAAAGATTTTTCACAAATAGGTCAAATCTCTAGCAATATTCTTATTGTATCACTTGGAAAAATTATACTTCTTAATAATATTATTTTATTCCTTAAAATGCAGTAATGCCCTCAAATAGTAGTATGACACATGTTTGTCAGACATGACTTAGTCCTAATGTTCCACAAACATAGCTTAAGCAGATGGGCAATTTAAAAGGATTTATTTTTTAAACAGTTCTATGAAACACGCATTCTCTAAGATGGGCAGTAGGGATCCATTTTATATTCATTACAGGGCTAAAAAAGGAATGTTTTGAAATCTTACAAAACAAATTAATCTATGCTTGAGATATATACATAGCCTAATAAAATGTATTGAGGAAGGGACACGTTAACATTTGAGTGGAAGAAGGTATACATTTAATCAGCATTTGTACAATAAAAATGAATTATGAATGGCCTCACTAATTATATACGCAGCACTTTCCAAAGGGTGCACTCTGGTAAGACTACTTACTTCTCATTGCTCATAAGCAAACTGTTGTCCTTGCCTTGGTAAAATCTATTTTAACAATAGCTGTTAAAGCATATCACTAGATTATCCAACGGGATGACAGGGTCACAGTCTTTTCTCTAAGAGAGGCATAGCTGACATCAAGGCTCTTTTAGCCTATTTGTTTCAACAAGAAATCCCCTTTCTATATTCATCATAATTAAAAAATTTTAACTTAATTTTTCCACTTCCTTATAATGTCACTGCATCGTAAAATAATGGAATCGACATGGATCTTCAGATTATACATATACATATATATATAGTTTTGTTTTTGTTGTTTTTTTTTTTTTTTTTGAGACAGAGTCTTGCTCTGTCACCCAGGCTGGAGTGCAGTGGCGTGATCTTGGCTCACTGCAAGCTCAGCCTCCTGGGTTCACACCGTTCTCCTGCCTCAGCCTCCTGAATAGCTGGGACTACAGGCGCCAGCAACCAATGACTGGCTAATTTTTTTGTATTTTTTTTTTTAGTAGAGAGAGGGTTTCACTGTGTTAGCCCGGATGGTCTGGATCTCTTGACCACGTGATCCACCCTCCTCGGCCTCCCAAAGTGCTGGGATTACAGGCATGGGCCACCGCGCTTGGCCTATAGTTTTTTTCAACAGCGCAACTTAAATAAGTTTAGTTATCAGAACAAAATAGAGTCAATTAGAAAAAAAAATTCATACAGAAAAATATACTTTTCAAGTTGACTGTTTTAACAGAGTTAAAATAAGTGATTATACTTCAGTCATTTGATTTAAATTTGCTCAGAGTGGCCAGAAAATCTAGAAACATAGAAAATGTCCATACTAAATAGTTGATTGCTATGACACGTTGAATGTGCTGTTCCTCAATAGTAATTCATAGTTCAGTAATCTACGCAAAATTGCAATGAACAATGTGCATTAAAGCAACATTTCCATCAATCAGTGTATATTCATCTGCCATATATTGCCTCAGATGATTTGAGTGTCTAATTTCACAGAATAAATTTGAGCCTTTACCCCAGAAGAAATAATCAACGGGGCTCAATCTATTAAAAAGATATTGACAATATTTCCAGGCTCTATTAACATCTATATTTTATTTTTAATTAGATTCACCTAATTCAAAGCTTGTAAATATTTTTACCATTTATATGTGCCCAGATGAAATGGATATCAATAATTAGATAATGGAGAAAACAACAAACACAGATCTTCTTTGTTGTTAAAATATTTTACGTCAGAGCACTTTGCTAGAAATAAAGTAATTTTTAATCTCCAGGCAAAAGACTGTCTAAATGACATTCAGAATGTATTACAAATTTAGATTTAGAATAGATTTATGTTTAAAACAGGCCTCATACTGCTTTCAACAAATCGGGCACTACAGAACAGAATGTGGGGAGGGTGACAATGATGTGATGACTTCTTAACACTGAGCAAAGAAGCAAAAAACAAGTTGTCTTTCTACAATGTTGATCCCTAAGAGTGATTTCCCTTTATAGATTGCAATATAATTCCAGTTGCATTGTTATTATTTTACAAAGAACTCCCACAGAAAAAACTTTCTGGAGGTTTTCCCCTATATACACACCTACATTCTCTGCCATGCTCACACCGTTGGCAAAGTATGGTGCATCCAGCCACAGACCATCAAGGGGCTTGATAATTGCCTCCTCCATATACCTTCTGAGGTCGGTCAGGTTTATAACCATTCGTGTAACACAATTCATCCTTATAACTGGGCCTATGGCCTTGTGGCTTGTCACCTTTTCCAAGCAGGTGCTTGTCATCTTGGTTGCTCAGAGGTTTGCTGTGGCATCTTCCCTCACCTGAGGCCGGGCTGGCCTCCACCATGTTGCAACCAGAAGAGCCCACTTCCGTGGGGACAGAGCTTCCGTGCTCTCCACAGCCACGTCACGCTGCCGCTGTGCAAATGATGCCAACTGTAAATCCCAGAAAACTGCAAAATAATGCTGCGCCAGGCACAGTCGGTGAGGATTTAGAGGATGCTAACGTCTTTCCTAAGAAACGTGGGTGACATCGGCCAGGCACGGTGGCTCACGCCTGTAATCTCAGCACCTTGGGAGGTCGAGGCGGGCAGATCACGAGATCAGGGGATCGAGACCATCCTGGCTAACACGGTGAAACCCCCTCTCTACTAAAAATACAAAAAAATTAGCCGGACATGGTGGGGGCGCCTGTGGTCCCAGCTACTCGGGAGCCTGAGGCAGGAGAATGACGTGACCCCAGGAGGCGGAGCTGGCAGTGAGCCGAGATCGCGCCACTGCACTCCAGCCTGGGAGACAGAGCGAGACTGCGAGACTCTGTCTCAAAAAAAAAGAAGAAAAAGAAAGAAAGAAAGAAAAGTGGGTGACATCACTCTGGTTCTAATCATTTTCGTGCTTCAGCTGCCCCCACTGGATCAGTGTTTCTGGTGAAACGCAATCAGTTTTCGGAGGGCCTCACCCTCCTTCACTGTAATGATGTTTGCAGTTCTTTCTTTCTCCTCTATGCCGAAAATCCAGAATTACCACCCCCTGTTCCCCATGGTTCACAATCTCAAACACGTTTCTCCAGTGACCACTTCAATTCACACAGCCATCCCTCAGTTCAAATATTGCCTTTGAACATCATGAGCAAGACCACGGCTCTTTGTATTTCTGCCACAGTTTCACACCAGTTACAGATTATATACATTCTTCACGTCAATAAGTTTATTTTGTAGAGTGTGGTTTCTGGAGTCAGATGAACTCTCCACCTACTAGGTCTGTTACTTGGGCAAGTCATTTCTTGCCTAGATTTACCAATTTGTTAGAGTTATATTACTTTACTCCAAAAGATTTTATTCTGTGAATTACATTGCTTTTCTTATTTTTTAAAAATTGTAAATCTAGGGATTTAGGCTTGGTTGTTTTTTTAAATATCAGTACTTATCTAAACAAATATTTGAAAATTTTTCTTTTTTCTTTACGTATATTAGAAATCTGGCCAGGCACGGTGGCTCATGCCTGTAATCCCAGCACTTTGGGAGGCCAAGGTGGGCGGATCACCTGAGGTCAGCAGTTTGAGACCAGCCTGGCCAACATGGCAAAACCCCGTCTCTACTAAAAATACAAAAAAATTAGCCGGGCGTGATGGCAGGCACCTGTGATCCCAGCAACTTGGGAGGCTGAGGCAGGAGAATCACTTGAACTGAGGAGGCAGAGGTTGCAGTGAGCTGAGATTGTGCCACTGCACTCCCGCCTGGGCAACAGAGTGAGACCCCATCTCAAAAATAAAAAAAAAAGAAAGAAATCTGTTAACAGCCTTGCTATGAAGACATTTTTGTCTGTTTCTTTTACTTTGTGTACTTATTTAATATTAAAACCTGTATTATTGCTCAGCAAAGAGGAGAATAGTTTCCTTGAAGGAAAAAAAACATCCTTAAGAACTTACTAGTTTAAAGCTGAGCATCTTAGATTTGAAGGTTGCCTTACCTTTTTAAAGATTTTTTTTATGAGTTGATAGAAAGTCCTAAAATCTTAGGAACAGAAACAATTGAGAATTACAAGTCAAATCATTGAAATGGAGCCATCTGACAGTTTATGTGTTCTGCTGTGCCAGTAGTGAGTGGGAACAGTTTCTATGTGGGAATATAATCAGGGTCCTGACTACCCCTAAAGGAGCTCTTTCTTGTTTGGTGTGAAGCCAATACACCAAACCGAGAGTGAGTATCAAACAGTGTGGGCTTTTTTCAATGGCCATGGAATTGCAGAAGTGGGAGCATAGCCTGCAAATCAACTTCTCAGAGCCTGAGAACTGAGGATTCTTAATGAAGGGGCTGGGTATACAGAGGAAAGGGAGAAATATTCATAGCTTTTCTTGGGAAGGGAGGTAGGTTTTTTTGGAATCAAAGAGCCACCTCTTTTCTGCCTGTTTTTGGTCTCTTCTGGCCATTGTCATGGTGATTGTCAACTGTCAAGGTGCCAGTGGGAGTGTCATTTAGCATGGAAATTGGATCATAATGAAGCTAGAGGTTTTTCAGAGGTCAAGCTGCCATTGCGGATTTTGCCAGCTTCAGCCAGTTTAGTCCTAAGAAGGAACTTCTGACCCCAGACATCCTGTTTTCTAAAACTAAGCAGTTAAAGCTGAATGGGAATTTAGCTCTGTCACATAGGCATTTGTTGGGCAACAAAAGCAGGGTAGGGCTCCAGCTAAGCCACGTAGGCACTACGATGGGCAACAGAAAGGTTGGTTTCTGGGCAATTCAGAGAAACCAAGGACAGCTACCCCCAGAACTCAGAGTAGCCAACTGGGCTGCTCACAGGAGATGCCTTAACTGAAAGGTGATCAGACTCCACAGGAGACCCAGAGAAGATGTGGAGGGAGCTCAGAGGCTGTCCTGGAGGAGACGTGGAGACAGCTCAGAGGCTGTCCCAGAGAAGACGTGGAAAGAGCTCAGAGGCTGTCCCAGAGAAGACGTGGAGAGCTCAGAGGATGTCCCAGAGAAGACGTGGAGAGAGTTCAGAGGCTGTCCCGGAGAAGACGTGGAAAGAGCTCAGAAACTCAGAGACTGTCCCGGAGAAGACATGGAAACAGCTCAGAGGCTGTCTGCAAGAAGACGTGCAGAGAGTTCAGAGGCTGTCCCGGAGAAGACATGGAGAGAGCTCAAAGGCTGTCCACAAGAAGATGTGGAGAGAGTTCAGAGGCTGTCGTTACTGCTGCACTTGGCTGTTTTTCTTTGGATAATTATTGCAATCAATTTTAGTAATTCAGGTGTTAAATCACAGTCAAGCACCTATTTACCTAGTGGTGAGTTCCTTTATGTTGTGAGTTCAATGTCATTTGTGGGGACTGTGGTCCAGGGAGGTGTTGGGAGGATGAAGTTTTTTCTGAGTGACTTTGCAAACATAAAAAGTCATCTAATAAAGATGCTAGAAAAGCAAATATCCTAACTTCCTAGTCAGAAAAATGTCCAACACCATGTTTATTTAAGAATTTTTCACAAAAAAAAACAGTGGTGGGAGAAAATTACACATCTGGGCCCAGCAAGTAAGACTTTCCCTTCACAATTGTGCTGTGGGATCCCAGGCCTCGGGGGGCTACTGCCGTCACCGTCCCCAGGCTGTGGGCCCCTTTGTCAGCTGCTCTTCTGAAGGCAGGTCTCCTGTCCATGCCTTCCCCTTTGCTGTCCGGATGGAGATTGGAGATGCAGCATCATATACAGCTGACAGGTGTTAACCTTATTAGCTAATTCTGTTTCACGGGACACGATTTATACACTCCATGGAAATGCTTCTCACTGCCTTTTTTTACCACTTCAAGGTAGAAGTAGGTAATAGTGCTAAAGTCATCTTACTAGAATAACAAAGTCCATGGTTTGTTGTCCCTAAAAATATTTGTATTAGTTTACTAGGGCTGCCATAACAAAATACCACAGACTGAGTGGCTTAAGTAACATAAATTTCTTTTTTTCTTTCTTTCTTTCTTTGTTTATTTATTATTATTATACTTTAAGTTTTAGGGTACATGTGCACAATGTGCAGGTTAGTTACATATGTATACCTGTGCCATGCTGGTATGCTGCACCCACTAACTCGTCATCTAGCATTAGGTATATCTCCCAATGCTATCCCTCCCCCCTCCCCCCACCCCACAACAGTCCCCAGAGTGTGATGTTCCCCTTCCTGTGTCCATGTGTTCTCATTGTTCAATTCCCACCTATGAGTGAGAATATGCGGTGTTTGGTTTTTTGTTCTTGTGATAGTTTACTGAGAATGATGATTTCCAATTTCATCCATGTCCCTACAAAGGACATGAACTCATCATTTTTAAGAAAATGTGGCACATATACACCATGGAATACTATGCAGCCATAAAAAATTTCTTTTCTCACAGTTTTGGAGGCTGGAAGTCCAAGGTCAAGGAATCAGCACATTTGGTCTCTTCTGAGGCCTCTCTCTTTTCCCTTGCCAATGGCCACCTTCTTACTGTGTCCTCACATGATTGTCCTGTGGTCTGTGTGTGGTCTCTGTCCACATCTCCTTGTCTTACAAGGAAATCAGTCTTACTGATTAGGGCCCACCCATATAACCTAATTTTACCTCAATTACCTCTTTATAGGTCCTCTTTCCAAATACAGCCCCATTCTGAGGTACTAGAGGTGAGGACTTCAACATAAATTTGAGGCAACACAATTCTGTCCATGACAATTGTCCACCTTAGTTTTATGGTGAACCAAGGCTGTGAAAAAGACTTGACTTGGGGCCGGGCATGGTGGCTCACGCCTGTAATCCCTACACTTTAGGAGGCCAAGGTGGGTGCATAACCCAAGGTCAGGAGTTCAAGACCAGCCTGGCCAACATGATGAAACCCCATCTCTACTAAAAATACAAAAAGAATGAGCTGGGCTTGGTGGCGGGTGCCTGTAATCCCAGCTACTCAGGTGGCTGAGATGGGAGAATTGCTTGAACCCGGGAAGCGAAGGTTGCAGTGAGCCGAGACTGCACCATTGCACTCAAGCCTGGACAACAAGAGCGAAATTCTGTCTAAAAAAAAAAAAAAAAAAAAAAAGACTTGACTGAAGGCAGTGACCTAAGAGTGAAGCGATAACAGCTGGCAACTGTTCCGCAAGAAGGTGCAAAGCCCCTGCAGGCCTGGGAAGGTGCAGAGCCTGCACCTCAGATTTGACTCCTCTCATAGAATCATGGAATTTAAGTGAACCTCTTCCAGTATTAGGGAATCTTGAATGGAAACTCTAATATCTTAATCCCCAGTGTAACAAACTTTTACTACATTGTTCTCATGATGACAAATGTCTCATCAGAAAATGGCTTAAAAGTATAATTATTATGAAAGCAGACTGGCTTATTTAAAACAAACATAATCTGAAAACTGTAATCCAAAAAGTAAACATCCATATATATATATATATATATATATATATATATATATATATATATTCATTCATTCTCTTTGCTTTGAAACTTTCACTGAATGACCTTTGCCCATTTTATCGGTCACCATATTTTAGTGGTGCTATGCAGTGACTTTTGTAGAGTAATATCTCTCAAAGTGTGCAATGATCAATATTGTGTTGTCAAAAGATTCTGTAGTCAAAGAAGTTTGGAAAACTTTAATTTTTTGATTAAGCAAAGCAAGAAGTCTGAGTTTCATTTATTGGTTTACTATGAAAAGTGTTAGAGGCTTTATGATGTGCAAGAAGGACATGTGTCATAATATTTCTCAAACCTATTTGACTTCCAATACTTGCTTTTTTGTTTTTTCTTCTTTTGTGGAGAAATTTCAAAAACTTTGGAAAATACTTTTTAAGTGAGATTCAGGAGTTTGATAAGCAAGATGACAAATACTAAAAATATACACTCCAAATATAGACACAATGAATACTAAATAAACTCACTGTTTTTAGTCAACATTATTCAAGGATATCCAAAGTTTTTCATGGCATAAAATGCTCTTTTTCTTTTCAGTAATATGATACATGTGATATTCCTGGAAACTTAAAAAAAAATCATCATTTATGTGCTCTCTTGTCAGTTTCATGCTGTATTTTTGATGTAGAAGAAAGAATTTGGTATCTTCTCAGGAATACATTGTCACATAAAAATATGTAAACTCCTTCAGATAAATTCTCACCTTCTGCAGAATGAGTCAAACAGCAGGGGGAGAAGCTGAATCTAGTGTTCGCAGTGAGTGACCTGTCTTCCTCAACACTGTCATCTCATCCATTGTCTTGGATGCTCAAGAAACGGAACTATATAAATGTGGCTTCTGGCCTTCATATATTACAGTGCCAAAGCTTCAAAGAACCAGTTTTTATTTAATACTTACTTTGTTTCTTTGCATTTTTTTTCAAAAATACAATATGTTGTTATTAACTATAGTGACCATGTTGTGCAGTAGATCTCTTCTTGAATATTTCCCCTCTCTTAAATGAAATTTTGAATCCTTTGATAAACATCCCCACTCCCCACCCCAAGTCCAGCTCCTGGTAACCACCAGTCTACTCTCTACTTCTATGAGTTTAGCTTTTTCAGATTCGACATAAAAGTGAAATCATATGGTCTTTCTGTGCCTGGCTTGTTTCATTTAACATAATGTCCTCCAGGTTCATCCACGTTGTCACAAATAACAAGATTTCATTATTTTTTATGGCTGAATAGTATTTCATTGTGTATATATACTACTTTTTAAAATTCATTCATCCATTGATGGACACTTACATTGTTTCCACATCTTGGGCTAATATATAAATAAGATTTAATGTATATGGTGTTGCAGATATCTCTTCGACATACGGATTTCATTTCCTTTGGATATATACCCAGTAGTGGGATTGCTGGTTCATATGGTAGTTCATTTTTAATTTTTGAAGGAACCTCCATGCTATTTTCCATGATGCCTTTCCTTCAAGTCTTCTCCAACACTTGTTATATTTTGTCATTTTATAATAACCATCCTAACACGTATGGGGTGATATCTCAAAGTGTTTTTAATTTGCCTTTCTCTAATGATTAGTAATATTGAGCATTTTTTATATGCCTGTTGGCCTGTATGTCTTCTTTTGAAAAATGTCTATTTGGATCATTTGTCCATTTCTTATTGAGTTATTTTTGGTTGTCTCTTCACTCTGCTAGCACCTATTTTGTATAAGACAATAATGCTCTTACATTTTCAAAATACACAGAAGATAAAAAACATATAGTAAGTATGATACTTGAATTGTAGTGAGACATTTAAAATTTTCCAGGAAACAATTACTGTGTTTTATGGTTATAAGGAAGAAACATGTACATCATTTTGGGGAAGAAAAAGAGAAATTATGGAGTGATAAGTTTAAATTGAGAAAATGTCAACAAATACAATATACGAGAGAGGCTCTAGGCATTTCATTTACAAAAATATTGTCCAGTTTTTGTATGTGTGATGTGTGCTTGTTCCCTCTTTCCATATCTATCTCTGTCTGTCTTTCTGCTATGGTTTGAATGTATCCTCCAAAAGTTCGTAGATTGGAAACTTAATCCCTCTTCCCTCATGAATAGATTTATGTCAGTCCTGCCCTCATGAATGGATTAATGTCACTAGCATAGTAGTGGGTTCCTTATCATAAGCCCTTTTGCTCTTGCTCTCTCACTATGTGATGCCCCCTGCCATGTTGTTAGGCAGCAAGAAGGCCTTCTCCAGAGGCCAGCATCATGCTCTTGGCATTCCTAGGCCTCAGAGCTAAATACATTTATTTTCTTTATAAATCACTCAGTCTGTGGTATTCTGTTATAGCAACAAAAATATTAAGACACTCTTCCTATTTCCCCTACTCTCCTTCCTCCAGCCTCTTTCTTACACACAAAATGTTACTGAAATACCAGGAGTTCAATCTAGGTTCTGTTACTTGCACACAGAAAGCCAATCACTGAGACAATGAATATTGCCAAGGAAGAAGGCTTTAATTGCATGCTACAGCTAAGGATATGGGATATCAGTCTCAATTCCATCTCCTCAACCAGCCGAAATTAGGGGATTATATAGCAAGGAAGAAATGTAACTATGAGCAGGAAAACAGGAACTAGGGAGGGCTAAGGAAGCAATCATGACAAATAAGGAATCTGGCATCTGGCATCTCATTGTCTCGACACAGTGGTCTGATGAATTTCACTTCTTTGATACTTTTTGAGAGAGCTGAGAGTCCATTTCCTGAGGAAGAAACTCAGAGAAAACAAATGTAAGTTTCAAGCTTCAAGACCAGAAGGATTTGTTTCTATGTTTATATTTTTAAAATCTGTCTGTGGATCTATTGGGTGCATTTCAAAAACACATACAGAGGAAATCCCAGGCGCTGTGCTAGAATTGGGAATACAATGGTGAGTTCAAAGAGGAATAATTTTCCTATTCTCATGAAGCTAATAGTATAGGATAGAGAAAGCAAACACTAATCAAAGAACCACACAAGCATAAGATTGCAACTACAACTAAAAACCATAACCATTCAGTTAAGCTAAGGAGGCCACCATTGTCACCCTTCTCTTAACCTTTAATAATGTATTTTACAGGTAAAATCCTTAAGTAAGTCATATTTGGTTGGGAAGATCAAAGAAATCACCCAGTCTCCCACATCCGAAATTGTGCAGTCCGGACTGTCAGGAACAAAAGTGAAAGAGAGACGTCATCAAGGCCGGGCGCGGTGGCTCATGCCTGTAATCCCAGCACTTTGGAAGGCCAAGGAGGGCGGATCATGAGGTCAGGAGTTCAAGACCAGCCTGGCCAATATGGTGAAACCCTGTCTCTACTAAAAATAAAAAAATTAGCCAGGCGTGGTGGCAGGCACCTGTAATCCCAGCTACTTGGGAGGCTGAGGCAGAAGAATCACTTGAACCTGAGAGGCAGAGGTTGCAATAAGCCAAGATTGTGCCATTGCACTCCAGCCTGGGAGACAAAGCGAGACTCCATCTCAAAAAAAAAAAAAAAAAAAAGAATGACTAAAATTAAGAAGATTGATGATTCCAAATATTGGTAAAGATGTAGAACAACTAGAACTCCCACATATTGCTGATGAAAATGAAGAATAATACATTACTTTGGAAAATACTTTGGTACTGATTTACCATATGACCCCAAAATCTCACTTGTAGAAATTTATACAGGAAAAATGAAAACATATGCTCACAGAAAGCTTGTATACACATGCTTATGGCAATAAATTTATTTATAGTTGCCTATCAACAAGTGATGAACAAATATATTTTAGTATCTTGATACTACTTTCCAGCTAGAAAAGGAATACTACTAAGCAAAAATAGAGGATGAAGTAGTAATATACATAACATATATGAATTTAAAAACACCATGCTGATTGAAAGAAAACAATTATCAAATACACAGTGTAATATTCTATTCACAGAAAGTTTGAAAACAAAAAACTATAGTCTCTGAAAGAAAACCATTGGTTGCAGGAAGGTGGGGATTCATTGGCCACAAAAGGGACTGAGGAAACTTTTTATGGGTAATGGAAATATTTTATATCTTGATGGTGGCACCAATTATACAACTGTATGTACACATTTGTCAAAATTCTAATCGTATTATACACAACATGAGTGACTTTAACTGTCTATAAATTATATCTCAATAAAATTGGTCTTAAAAGATATATATATACACACACATAATTTAATATGTATTTTATATATATCTCTCTCTCTCTCGACAATGGAGTGAAATGTACTCTTTTTTTTTTTTTTTTTGAGACGGAGTCTCGCTCTGTCGCCCAGGCTGGAGTGCAGTGGCGCGATCTCAGCTCACTGCAAGCTCCCAGGTTCACGCCATTCTCCTGCCTCAGCCTCCTGAGTAACTGGGACTACAGGCGCCCACCATCACGCCCAGCTAATTTTGTTTTTGTATTTTTAGTAGAGATGGGGTTTCACCATGTTAGCCAGGATGGTCTTGATCTCCTGACCTCGTGATCGCCTGCCTCAGCTTCCCAAAGTGCTGGGATTACAGGTGTGAGCCACCGCTCCCGGCCTGTGAAGTGTATTCTTGTGATTAAATTGTCACTTAGCAAACATCCAGAATGCTAAATATCCATATTATTTCTCTTGTTTTGCCTTTCTCTCACTTTTTCTACAAGCACCATTTTGAAGAAAGCCTCATCAACTTTATTAATTATATTTGTGATCATTTGAAGACACAGAAAATTTTCTTCTGCAAAATATAAAGTCTTCTTTCATCTGCTCTCGTGATCCTTTTATTCTTCTGCCAAGTGATGTACATTAATTGATCAACTGAGTTATGCATGCATTTACTTTTTCACAGATCTTTGTTATGCCTGTACTAGTTCTATGCTAGGGATATGGTATGACACTGAACAGGATCAATATGGTCCCTGCTTTCACAGAGCCCACACCTAATGTGTGGATAGTCAGAACACAGTTACACAAACACAAGTGGGAAATAATTATAACATCTGATAGATCTGAAGTCAGTAGAAAAGGTATTGAAATGGAGAAATAGAAAGGGGCCTCGCTTTGATAATGAAATCAGAGACAGTTTCCCTGCAACTTCCTTAGAGGGCAAAAGCCATGTCCTTTCCTTCTCCTACCCCACCACTGACCCCAATAAAATACCGAGCACAGAATTTTCACTCAATAAATTACCTTAAAATGGATTTCAAAATATTTATAAAGCACATTTGTGTCCATTAAAGTATGAAAGGACATGTATTTGGAGCATAAAACCCAGCACATGATGGAAACATCACATAAATGAGGATCAAGAATCTAATTATGTAATGGGAAAATTTAAAAGAAATGTCAAGCTGGATAGAGTGTATTCTAAGAAAATGAATACATGTATAATAGCTAAATATTTGGCATTTGAGTTTCGGATGAAAAAATAGATGTAAAAGAAACAGTTTCCTTAATTAAGAATTTAATTTTGTGGGGCCGGGTGCGGGGGCTCACACCTGTAATCCCAGCACTTTGGGAGGCCGAGGCGGGCACATCACGAAGTCAGGAGATTGAGACCATCCTGGCTAACATGGTGAAACCCCGTCTCTACTAAAAAATACTAAAAATTAGCCAGGCGTGGTGGTGGGCACCTGTAGTCCCAGCTACTTGGGAGGCTGAGGCAGGAGAATGGTGTGAACCTGGGAGGCAGAGCTTGCAGTGAGCCGAGATCACACCACTACACTCCAGTCTGGGTGACAGAGCAAGACTCCGTCTCAAAAAAAAAAAAAAATTAATTTTGTCCTTTGGAAGGAGAGAAAGAAAAGGCAGTTCACCTAGACCATCACTTGCCTTTTTTAGTTGCAGCAAATGCCAGTTTTTAACCGGATATGTTTGCAATGTGTGAGTTCTTCTCCAAGTGCTAGCTAGGATGAGCTTCCATACACCGCACCCCCAGCTGTGGTAATGCTTTACTCATAGCCTGTCTCTCATCCATCTGCCTGAATTCCTGCAGAACACAGTTGGACCAGCAGCTCATATTTAATCCTCTCATATGATATTAACACCACTGGTCTCCATTTTTGATTTACATCTTAAAGCCTCCAGGCTGTAATTGTTTTACCACTGTATTTCATTATTTAACATCCACTACTTTTATGGAAAAAAATGTGTTTACTCCTGTATCTCATCTTAATGTTTCACTAACTGCTAAACTCACATTTTTTGTTCATTTGCATTGTTTCGAGAATCTAGATTGTATTTGTCTTTGGAAACAGTCACAGCCACTTCCAGAGGTCATTTCCCATAGACCCCAAACTTCTCTTCTCCCAGCCTTGGAGGTGCTGGGTTCTAGAAGGAGGAGGCAGTGAGTCCAGAAGCCCAGCCATATCAGGATGACATCTACCATTCATCTGTCCTCGTGTGTCTTCAGCGCCTCTTTCACATGTCTGTGTCCTTAGAGCTTGCTGGAACCATCTTTGCTTGTCTCTGTGTATTCTGAGTCTGTGACTATTTGGCTCTAGGAGTCTTCTCAACAAAGTACAATTTCTGTTGTCTTTTTCCAAAAAACTTTATGAATAAAATGAAAATATGAGTAATATAAAATCAAAATATATTTTGATTTCTCATTTCAAAATTATCTACCTCTGTAGTTTAATAGAACTCAATTATTGGCCCCAGAAGATAATTTTTTTCCCTAAAGTATTTTCTAAATAATAACCAGTAGTTGACCTACGTCCTTTATATATATCACATAGAAGATCTCCACAGTACATTCTTCAAATTCAGCTCAGATAATCCATGGAATGCTCAAGTTCCCTGTAACAAATTGAGCTCCTATATCTCTGTGGACTTATAATTGACTAATAAAAGTAAGACTGGTTTGCTAATGATAAAGATAATTTGTAAAAAATAAATCATTTTAGTTTGACCATGAGACGCACACATCCATTATCATTAAATGTGAAAATCTAGAATATATCCAGTTAATGGTCAAGTATCAACTTTATGTCCCACACTTGCCATGTAGAAGCTAAGCTTTTAAAATGCAGAATTATTTTCTACTTTTCTGTTATATGCATATATTATAAATGACAAGTATTTTAAACACTGGATTTTTTTAAAAATTGCTTTATTTTCTTCTGTTTTGACAAAAGTTGGCTTTCAAGTTTAATTAAGTTAAAAAAAAACGAACAACAAAAGTGTATTCCAATGGGAGACAGATAAAGCATCTTTCTTATCTAAAATACAGGACCAGGCGCAGTGGCTCATGCCTGTAATCCCAGTACTTTGGGAGGCCGAGGCAGGTGAATCACCTGAGGTCAGGAGTTCGAGACCAGCCTGACCAACATGTCTCTACTAAAAATACAAAATTAGCCGGATGTGTTGGTCCATGCCTATAATCCCAGCTACTCAGGAAGCTGAGGCAGGAGAATCACTTGAACCCAGGAGGCGGAGGTTGCAGTGAGCCAAGATCATACCATTGCACTCCAGCCTGGGCAACAAGACTGAAACTCTGTCTTAAAATAATAATAATAAAATAAAATATATATTTATATATGGTATATGAATTTGATACATTTTGCTTTATTTCAGGACTAATGTAATGCTACAGAAAAGGAATGACTCTAAACTCACTTAATTTCTCCTGACTATAAATAGCCCTTGACCACTTTCAACTTTCCCACTGATAACTCTATAACATAGGGCAAGTTACTTGACCTCACTGAGCCTATTTTGCCATCTATAAATCAGCTAATAGGACCTAACTTATAGGTTTGCTGAGAGGTATAAGTAAGACAATAGAGTCTAGCATATGGTGGGGCTCAACAAATATTAGTACATTACTTACACTTTTTTTTTTCACCCTGCTATGCCTTTCAGTTTATTTCTACTAAACTCTAAGTTATTAAAATACAGGCTGAAGTATTATTAATTTCCCTCTGTGTTCTCCCCAGTTCCTATCACAGTGCCAGGGACACACAGGCCCCATAATCCTTCATGGCCAATTGAACTGACAGTGAACTATGTCTTCGTCCATTTGGGATGCTACAACAAAATACCATAGACCGGGTGACTTATAAACCACAGAAATGTGTTTCTTATCGTTCTGGAGGCTGGGAAGTCCAAGATCACGGCATTGGCAGATTCAGTGTCTGGTGAAGGCCTGCTTTGTGGTTCATAGATGGGTGCTTTCTTGCTGTGTCCTCATGTGGTGATAGGGGCAAGCCAGTGCTCCTAGTCTCTTTGATAAGAGCACTAATCCCATTTCCGAGGGCCCATCATGACTGAATCACTTCTCAGCAATCCTCCCTTCTAATCTCATCACTTTGGGGGCTAGGATTTCAACATATGAATTTGTGTGGGGGGCACAAACATTGAATCCATTGCAATGAACATCAAAGGATGGTACAGTGGTTAGTGTTTGTGTATCATGGCCTACCTAATAATTTTATGTCTTGGTTGCTGAAAATAAAACAAATAAAAGCTTTCATTTACATGCTTTTTTAGCACACCTTTTCTGGAAAAAATTCTCTACTTTAGTGCTGGTTTGTGTGGCTCATAATACATCTATGGCCATTAAAATCCAATAGAACTCCAGAGCGAGGAAGCACATTGCTGTCTTTCTCTATGGTGTTTTCCAGGCAGGGTCAGAATGCCAGGATATCATCAGACATTTTTTGGTAGACAGTGAGGGGAGGGGGTGGAGAGGGTGCAGTTTATTATACGTAAATTATACCTCAATAAAGCTGGTACTTCTTTTAAAATTTGCCATAATTCTTTATATTATAAAGATATAAAGAAATTTTTGCACTGTCTCTCAAGTTTGTCCAGAGGATAAAATCAGAGGCATATAACAATATAAAATAGTATTCAAAGATCAAATATTTATCCAAACTTTAATACTAGAGAAAGATGGGCAGGTATAAGCATGAGCAATGGGAAAATGAGAAAGAGCAGGAGAAGGAAATGTTACTGAAGCAAAGTCAGAGATTGCCTGCTTAAAAAAGTTTTAAAAGCTAATTTACGGAGATGGCTTCTTTCCTTAAACCTCACGAACCAACCTCTACTACCTTCCAACTTTTCTTCTTCAGCTTCCTCACCTCTCTCAGCCTTCATAGAACTGAAGAGAGTTAGGGCCTTCCTCTGGATTAGGCTTTGGTTTAAGGGAATGTTGTGGCTGGTTTGATTTTCTGTCCAGAGCACTCAAACTTTCTCCATATCAGCAATAAGGCCGTTTCACTTTCTCATCACTTGTGTGTTTACTGGAGTAGCACTTTTAATTTCCTCCAGGAACATTCTCTTTGCATGCACAGCTTGGCCAACTGTTTGGTGAAAGAGGCCTAGCTTCCCGTCTATCTTGGTTTCCAGGATGCCTTCCTCACTCAGCTCAATCATTTCTAGCTTTTGACTTAAAGTGAGAAATACGTGATTCGTCCTTTCATTTGAACACTTAGAGGCGATTGTAGGATTATTAATTGGCCTAATTTCAATACTGTTCTGTTTCAGGGAATACAGAGGCCTGAAGAGAGGAAAAAAGAGATGGGGGATGGTCGGTGGAGCAGTCAGAATACACACATTTACTGGCAAGTTTGTCATCTTATATTGGCACAGTTGTGGCACCCCAAAACAATTACAATAGTAACATCAAAGATTACTGATCACAGATCACATAACAGACATAATAATACAAATTTAAAATATTGCAAGAGTTACCAGATGTGATACGGTGACACAAAGTGAGCACATGCTATTGGAGAAAATGGTGCTGATAGACTTGCTCAATGCAGGGTTGCCACATGCCTTCAATTTATAAAAAATGCAGTATCTGAGAAGTGCAGTAAAGCAAAGCACAATAAAATCAGGTATGAGGCTGGGCATGGTGGCTCATGCCTGTAATCCCAACACTTTGGGAGGCTGAGGCAGGCAGATCACCTCAGGTCAGAAGTTCAACCAGCCTGACCAACATGGAGAAACCCAGTCTCTACTAAAAATACAAAATTAGCTGGGTGTGGTGATGCATGCCTGTAATCCCAGCTACTCGGGAGGCTGAGGCAGGAAAATCGCTTGAACCCAGGAGGGGGAGGTTGCGGTGAGCCCAGATCTTGCCATTGCACTCCAGCCTGGGCTACAAGAGCAAAACTCCATCTCAAAAAAAAAAAAAAGAAACTAGAAAAGAAAATAAAACCAACAGTAAGCAGAAGAAAGGAAGTAAAAAGCATCAGTGTAGAAATCAATGCAATAGAAAACAGGAAAAATCATTTACAGGAAATAAATGAAACCAAACTCTGTCTCTTTGAGAAGGTCCATAGTATTGATAAACTTCTATTCAGGCTTATCAGGAAAAAAAGAGAGAATACAAAAACAACCTATCAGGAATAAGAGAAGTAACATAACAACAGATTCAACAGATGCTAAAGAGATAATAAATGGTAATTATGAACAACATTGTGCCAACAGATTTGACAACTTAGATGAAGTGGACAAATGTCTCCAAAGACACAATTATCTAGTCTTACTCAAAAACAAACAGACAGAATAGCCCGGTATCTATTAAAGAAATTGAAGCTGTAATTTAAAACCTTTCCACAAAGACTCCAATGCTAGGTCTAAATGGCTTCAGTGAAGAATTCTACCAAACATTTAAGAAAAACATGATACCAATTCTGCTAGTTCTTACCAATTATTCTAATTAAAGAGAAAATTGAAAAAGGAAGGAATACTTCCGAATAACCTCTTGCACTTTTCTCAGACTTGTAAGTGTGACACTGGGATGACCAGTTCATGGGGAGAATTTTATATTCTTTACAGGTGAACTGGCTACAACCACAGGCAATTTCAATTTCTTTCCAAATTTCTTCAGGGGAATATCTGAGGAAAAATAAAGTGCTTTTGAAATATAAACACTTTCTAGGAATACAGGAATGTTGCTTATATATGATTTTACCAATGGTCTCATGAAAATTGTGTGGAGGACTGTGGCTATAAACACAATGGTTTGAATTTTATGTAAATTCATAGCTTTTTATTGTTATTTTTAAATACAGAAAAGTTCTGAAGATAGTAATTTTATTTGCCAGTTTTTTGGAAACTTTATATCTGAGGAAGATCTGCTGGAAGATGTCATTTGGGGTAATGCAAAATATTTCTGGAAGACACAAGTAAAATGGGCCCTCATTGACCAAGTAGTTTGTATAGATGTAGTGATTAAACTATTAAGTAGAGGGGAGGTTGCAAAAATATTTGACAAAATGAAATGTGTGCCTGCAGTGCAAAACCACTGATCCTGCTCACAAACAGGCATAGTGAGAAAGATTTCTATATGCCTGGTAGAACAACCTCTGTGGGCCATCTTAAGCACTGGTGATTAACACTTTTATGCATTCTATTACATCTGAATTTCACCACTTAACATGATACTTAAGCTGAATTAAAATACCTTAATACTCTTGCCTTAATATTCTTCCAAGGTTTAGCACCTGGTCCTTTTAATAAAAAAAAAAAATAGGTTATGGTTACCTTTTTTTGAAAAGGTACTCAAATATGTCAACTTTATTGTTTCTAGATATACACCCCTTTGTACTGAAAATTGTAAAAATAGCATGAAGTTTCCTCTTATTGCAATCCAAATTTTTGAAAGCCAGTAAATCTAATTATTATGCTCTAGACAACTTACCTAATGCTTTGTTTATCCACAAGTAACTTTGCTTCAATTTCTTGATGTTGGGTTTCATCTCACTGACTTTGGGCTTCTAAATGGGAATATTTACGTCCTCTTCGCTTCTTTGGGTCAAATCAAACAGTAGAGCTAAAGTTATTCAAATACATTCAAACTACACAGACCCCTTATAAATTACTAGTATCATGGTAGGAAGGAAAATATATAAGGAGAAAAATACATCCTGGAACTCATTATCAAAATTATTGGTGTATAGTCTATACTAGCATAGAGTAGCTTTCTCAACCTGCTATGTAAAATTGCCAGCAAGAAAAAAAAGTGCAAGAATAAGGTCTATGACTGAAGTGGCTCGGTGTCATGATTCCCTACTCTAGCATTCTCAGAAGGATCCCATCCGTTAGACATGCAGAAACTGCAGCCCATCCAAATGTGATCTGTTTAATCAATAATCAACAGTTCATATTGAAGACAGTATTTTTGCTATATGTGCTTGTCATAATGAAGGACGGTGTACAAAGAACAAGTTGAACCAGACGAACACTTTAATTTTGATGCCAAAATCAATCACTTTTTGTCATAACACCAGGCATAGATAATGGTTGATCCAGTGCACACTGTCTGTATTGCCCCATAATTTCCTGCAGCAGACATGTTATAATTTGACATACTCCTTGATCATTAACACATTGCAGTAGTCAGATATACTTGTCAAGATTAAGCTAAATGTCAGTAGAAGACTCAGTGAAGGCTTGAAAATCTTGCAGCTTGCTCTCAGAGACACTGCCAACTGAAATGATAAATGTCATTGGGCTGTGGTACTATTCTCATCGACGTATCAATAAATAAAGGGATGCTGGCGAAAAAATGTTCTTCCAGATACCTGCCCACTCTGAACCTAGAGTTCTTTTCATCACTGTGAAAGACAGCTCCCTACACACCGCAGCCATTTCCTGGGAGGACTCTGAGCTGTGATTTTAATAACAGAATGCACTCATCTGCCATTTTTCTTCCAGAATTGCTTGTGAATATCCTGCATGCTATCCAAGTCTCTCCACCCTTGTAGTCTTTGTATAAATGGGTTCATTTTGTTCCTTTTAATTTTTTGAGACAGAGTCTCACTCTGTGGCCCAGGCTGGTGTGCACTGGCGCTATCTGGGCTCACTGCAACCTCCGCCTCCCAGGTTCAAGCTCTTCTCCTGCCTCAGCTTCCTGAGTAGCTGGGATTACAGGCGCGCACCAACACGCCTGGCTAATTTTTATATTTTCAGTAGAGACGGGGTTTTGCCATGTTGGCCAGGCTGGTCTTGAGCTCCTGGCCTCAAGCGATCCACTCGCCTCGGCCTCCCAAACTGCTGGGATTACAGGCTTGAGCCACTGCGCCCGGCCCCTTTGTTCTTATTTGTTGTTATTGCAGTGGGATTCTAGGAGGTGCTGGGAGTGGAGAAGTTAATCAACATATTTAGCTAGCTTGAATAGACATCCCAGTATTGATAGAGTTGCAATCTTAAAAAAAGAAAGAAAGAAAGGGAAAAAAAAGCCCAACAGTCATGGGATGAAAAAGTATTTGGGCGAGGATGAAAGAGTCAAACTCTCACTGTGCACGTGAAATCACAAGTATGGGTCGGGCGCAGTGGCTCACGCCTGTAATCCCAGCACTTTGGGAGGCGGGTGGATCGTGGGGTCAGGAGATCGAGACCACCTTGGCTAACACGGTGAAACCCCGTCTCTACTAAAAAAAAAAAATACAAAAAATTAGCCGGGCATGGTGGCGGGCGCCTGTAGTCCCAGCTACTCGGGAGACTGTGGCAGGAGAATGGCGTGAACCTGGGAGGCGGAGCTTGCAGTGAGCTGAGATGGCGCCACTGCACTCCAGCCTGGGCAACAAGGCAAGACTCCATTTCAGAAAAAAAAAAAAGAAAGAAAGAAAAAGAAATCACAAGTACGTACACACGCAACTGTCCTGGTACTAACACAACATTTTGGTTTCCTTATAATATTGAAATTTTATTGAATATTGAAATACATTTTATTGAAGTTGAGAGTTGTATCTTCTTTTACCATGACCGCCAACATGTATGTGCAATAAAAGCTATAAGAATATTTGCATTTGACCCCTAAAATAAGGAACTTGGATTTAATAATTTGGCAGTTGCTTTGTTTCATTTAAATTTGAATATTTTTCTGTTTTATTTTAATAGATTGTTCCTATTGCATTATTCAAAGGTGTTAAAAAAAACTCTATGTGGTTGATTAGAGAACATTTATTATGTATATTTATTTGTGAATATTTATAATAATGAGTGTTTATTAAATATGTACATATTATACATTATACCAGGTACATATTGTATATATTATACATTATATAAGGTAGGGAATATACGTTGCCCATGTGGAGTTTATAATATAGCTGGAAAAATAATATCAACATATATACTGTATGATTCCAGCTACTTTTTTTTGTTTCTTTTTGAGATGCAGTCTTGCTCTGTCACACAGGCTGGAGTGCAGTGGTGTGATCTTGGCTCACTGCAACCTCCGCCTCCCAGGTTCAAGCAAATCTCCTGCCTCAGCCTCCTCAGTAGCTGGGATTACAGGCACGTGCCACCAGGCCCAGCTAATTTTTGTATTTTCAGTAGAGATGAGGTTTCACTGTGTTGTTCAGGCTGGTCTTGAACTCCTGACCTCGTGATCCTCTCACCTTTGCCTCCCAAAGTGCTGGGATTACAGGTGTGAGCCACCACGCCCGGCCTTTTGCCCACTTTTAAGTTGGATTATTTGTTTTCTTATTGTAGAGTTTCAAGTATTCTCTGTATATTTTGAATACTAGCCCTTTATCAGATATGTTCTCCCTCCCTGTGACTTGTTTTCTAATTCTTTTAACAGTGTCACCCATGCAGTAGAAGTTTTTTTATTTTTTTAATTATAATAAAGTCCCACTTAGCAAGTTTTTCTTCTATAGGTCACACTATAGGGTTGTATTTAAAAACTCATAGTCAAACCCAAGGTCACCTGTATTTTCTCCTGCTATCTTTTAGAAGTTTTATAGTTTTGCCTTTAAATTTAAGTCTATGATCCATTTTGAGTTAATTTTTGTGAGAAGTGTAAGGTCAGTATCTAGATTCATTTTTTTACATGTGGTTGTCCAGTAGTTTTAACACCATTTGTTAAGAAGCATATCTTTTTCCCATTGAATTACCTTTGCTTATTTGTCAAAGATCTATTGACTATATTTGTGAGGGTCTCTATCTGTACTCTGTGTTCTATTCCATTGATCTATTTGTCTATTCTTTACCAATACCACACTCTCTTGATTACTGTAAGTTTACAGTAAGTCTTGAAGTCAGTAAGCATTAGTTCTCTAATTTTGTTCTTCTTTAATATTATGTTGGCTTTTCTGCATCTCGTGACTTTCTATAGATTTGGAGTCAGCTAGTCAATATCTACAAAGTAGCTTGCTTGGATTTTGATAAGTACTGCATTGATCCCAATACTGATCTGTAGATCAAGTTGAAAGAACTGATATCTTAACAATATTGAATTTTCTTATTCATTAACATGCAGTAAGTTGATTTTTTAGATCTTCTGTGGTTTCGTTCATCAGATTTTCATAGTTTTCCTCAGATAGATACTACACATATTTTGTTAGACTTATACCTAAGTATTTCATTTTTGGTGCTAATGTAAATGGCACTGTGTTTTTAATTTTAAATTTCAACTGTTCATTGATGGCATATAGAAAAAGAAATGACTTTTTTAAATTAACTTTGTATCCTTCATCCTTGCTGTAATAACTTATAAAAGATTATATACTTAGAATTCATTCTAGGAGTTTTTTGTTTATTCTTTGTGATTTTCTACATAGGCACTCATGGCATATATGAACAAAGACAGTTTTATCACTTCCTTTCTTCTTCTTTTTTTTTTTTTTGAGACAGAGTCTCGCTCTGTCACCCAGGCTGCAGTGCAGTGGCTCGATCTCGGCTCACTGCAAGCTCTGCCTCCCAGATTCACGCCATTCTCCTGCCTCAGTCTCCCGAGTAGCTGGGACTACAGGCACCCGCCACCACGCCCGGCTAATTTTTTGTATTTTTAGTAGAGACGGGGTTTCGCCATGTTAGCCAGGATGGTCTCGATCTCCTGGCCTCGTGATCCGCCTCCCTCGATATCCCAAAGTGCTGGGATTACAGGCGTTAGCCACTGCGCCCCGCTATCACTTCCTTTCTTATCTGTATACCTTTTATTTCTTTTTTCTGTCTTATTGCATTAGTTAGGACTTTCCACACAAAGTTAAATAAGAGTGATAAGAGGAGACATCCTTGTTTTGTTCCTGTTCTTAGTGGGAAAGTATCTCACTTTTCAGGCTTGAGTATCATGTTAAGTGGAGGGGTTTTTTAGATTTAAAAAATCAATTTGAAGAAGTTTCTCTCTATTGCTAGTTTGCTGAAAGTTTTTGTTTTGTCTGTTTGTTTGTTTTGTTTTTTGAGGCAGAGTCTCACACTGTCCCCCAGGCTGGAGTGCAGTGGTGTGATCTCGGCTCACTGCAACCTCCGCTTCCTGGGTTCAAGCGATTCTCCTGTCTCAGCTTCTTGAGTAGCTGGGATATAGGTGCGCGCTATCATGCCCGGCTAATTTTTTTTTTTTTTTTTTTTTTTGGATTTTTAGTAGAGATGAGGTTTCACTGTGTTAGCCAGGATGGTCTCGATTTCCTAACCTCGTGATCTGCCTGCCTTGGCCTCCCAAAGTGCTGGGATTACAGGCATGAGCCACCACACCCAGCCTGCTGAAAGTTTTTATCATGAATGATTGTTAGATATTGTCAAATTCTTTTTATGCATCTATTGATAAGATTACATGATTTTTCTTCTTTAACCCATTGGTATAATGGACTGATCTTCGACTGTTGAACTAGGCTTGCATTCCGGAGTACATCCCACTTTGTTATGGTATATAATACTTTCCTTGTTTCTTTTTTAAACTATTGTATTTATTGTTTTTAACACTTTTTCACAACTTCAATGACAATCAAATAAGCCACCTCCTGTGTTGTGTTTCTCTGTGCTGCTTGAAGCTGCCTGTGCTTACTTTTGGTTCTACATAGCTTCTCCCCTTAGAATGATATACATAGTACAGCATTCAACATATGCTAACTCTTAGTGTTGTTATTATCTGAAGACCCTCAAGGACTGCTCATGGTGCTGATGTGGTTGGAGGGGACATGACTTGAACCATGTCTTGTAACTTTGCATGAATTATTTACACATGCTTGAGACAAGGTTAGTTTTCTGCATCAAAGAATGAGCAGGGAGATGATAAAGAGGTGGCTAGCTCCATCCTGTTCCAGCTATGGTCATTGCTGACGTGCACTTTGCATATACACGCTCATCCAAGTTGCATACTGCACTCAATCAGACTCAGGTGTGAAAGAAAGGTAGGAAAGAGGGACATGGGCCCACTTTCAGCTCTGGTTTATTCAGCTGTTATCACTGCTCTGTATGAGGACTGAAATGAAATCCTCAGCTAATACTGAACTGGAAGGAGCAGCCTGTGTGTGGTGAAGAGATAAAACCTAAAACAATCTTAACAGAAACAAAGCACTTTTCCAAACTAAGAAGAGGGCGATAAATGTAGTTTGACACTTTAGTTTAAAAATACACAAATTTAGGCTGGGCGTGGTGGCTCACACCTGTAATCTCAGCACTTTGGGAGGCCGAAGTGGGAAGATCATGAGGTCAGCAGTTCGAGACCAGCCTGCCTGGCCAATATGGTGAAACTCTGTCTCTACTAAAAATACAAAAATTAGCTGGGTGTGGTGGTGTGCACCTGTGCTCCCAGCTACTCGGGAGGCTGAGGGAGAAGATTCGCTTGAACCCAGGAGGCGGGGCTGCAGTGAGCCGAATCGTGCCACTGCACTCCAGCCTGGGTGACAGAGTGAGACTCCATCTCAAAAAACAAACAAACAAACAAAAAAACACAAATATTAGAATAACGCCTGTGAAACAAAAGTGACCTGAGTTTATGTCCCTGTGGCCTTGACAAAAGCCTGTGGTATAATGAGGTCACCTCATATCTTAGTGAGTTTGAAGGGAGTGAGGTCTCTCCTGCCCCCAGCTTTTAGACCACACTGAAGAGCTTGATCCCAGTTCCAGCCATTGGATATTCAGTAAGATGTCAATAAATCAGAGTTTGTCAAGAGAAGGAGGGTGAAGGGCCTTCTACCCTGACATGCCAGGTCTCAGACAGAGAGGAAGGCATTAGTTGCAGGAGAGAGAAAACTCAGGCATGAGCAGGATGGTCAACTTTAAATTCTACAGCTCCCTCCCATGGAGGAGACATTAGACTCACACTAAGAAGATAGGTCTGTAATTGGTGGATGGGGCTGCAGGAAGCTGTACCACAGACAAAAAGAAGAACTCAGGAATGAGGATTCTCAAAAATGAATGTGTTTTCTCTCAAAGAATGTATGAGAGTGTATTCATACAGTGATTCTCTGTTATCTATAGAAGTCTAAATTCCATAAGAAGTTCAGAAGGTCCTTTGTTCCTCACTTCCTGCCTGTAAGCCAGTTTCATCTCCCGGACACACTCTGCCACCCTGTGTGCCCTGAGTCATAGCCCCTCTGCACTAACTATGCTTCTCCCAAAATCAGCATACTCCTTTCACCTTCCTGCCTCTGCCCACGACTTCCTCTTGGTCTGGAATGCCCCCAACAGTTCAGCTCTTAAAGCTCATATACCCTCAGGCCATAGTTGAAAATATGTATATCCTTGTTTATTCTCAACAGTTCCAATAAAAATCCACCTCCCCTTTGAAGTCTTCACGACTGCTATACTTTAACCTCCAAAGCAAAGTTAGATACCCCATGATCTGTGCTCCCATGACACCCATCCACTTCGATTATGGCATGTTCCACATTCTAATTATTTGCTTACTGTCTCCTCTAGTTGACTTTGAGCAGACACCTTGTCTTATTCATGTCTGCATCTGAAGAGTTTTCACACAGGGCTCACACCACAATGGGTGAATGAGCACTCAGAGAGGAATCTGTACCCACGTGAAGGCATGCACCCTTCAGCACTAAGCTTCTGTGATCTCATAACATCTTGCCTTAATATTCTTCCAAGGTTTAGCACCTGATCCTTTTAAACACATTTGTTAATAAACAATAAATAGGCTATGGTTAACTTTTAAATAACTAGTTAATCTTTATTATGAAATAAGAATTTTGGAAGAGGCGAAGTGATCTATATACATGGGACGGAGGAAAGTGAATATCAATGGCCTATGACGCATCATTAAGTTTCTTTTCTATTTCATAGAATTTTCTACTCACATTACTGTCTTATTCAGTGTTCTTTTGTTTGGTGTTGAACCAGCGCAAAATCTCTGAGGTTAAAATGGAATTATTCTAAAGGCTGGAAGCCTGGTAGCTTCAAGAGCTAGAACCAAAGTCTGGAAAGAGCTCCAGGAACAGCTCCAGCTACCCTAAGTAAATCTCTCCCAGGCGCTCTGATCGCTTTTCACAACTTCTCTCTCCACATCACTTCAGCTTTTCTTTCCACAGATTGACTATGTCTGCTTTTCTAAGCTGCTGGTTAAATATGGAAGCACCAACGATCCCAAACTTAAATATTCTAAGTTGAAATGACCCATAGGGAAAGACCAGTATCTCTCAATCCCAATTCCCACATTTTAAAGAGAAAATGTGGTTGGGTCAGTTGTTCTACCTTTAAATAAATAGGGTCAGGTATGGGACATGATTCCATAACACAAACATGGCAGGCAGGGCTCACCATTGTGGGGTCAGTCCTCAGATAAATTTTTTTTTTTTTTTTGAGACGGCATCTCACTCTGTCACCGAGGCTGGAGTGCAGTGGTGCAATCTCGGCCCACTGCAACCTCTGCCTCCTGGATTCAAGCGAGTCTACTGTCTCAGCCTCCTGAGTAGCTGGGATTACAGATTTGCGCCACCATGCCTGGCTAATTTTTGTATTTTTAGTAGAGAGGGAAGTTCTACCATGTTGGCCAGGCTGGTCTTGAACTCCTGACCTCAGGTGATCCACCCACCTCGGCCACCCAAAGTGCTGGGATTACAGGTGTAAGCCACTGCTCCTGGCCAATAACTTTATTTATTTATTATTTTATTTATTTATGTTTTTGAGACGGAGTCTGGCTCTGTCGCCCAGGCTAGAGTGCAGTGGTGTGATCTCGGCTCACTGAAAGCTCCGCCATTCTCCTGCCTCAGCCTCCTGAGTAGCTGGGACTACAGACGCCCGCCACCACGTCCGGCCAATTTTTGTATTTCTTAAGTAGAGACGGGGTTTCACCGCATTAGCCAGGATGGTCTCGATCTTCTGACCTTGTGATCCGCCCGCCTCGGCCTCCCAAAGTGCTGGGGTTACAGGCGTGAGCCACCGCGCCTGGCCCAGAACTTTATTATAGGTGGGACACACATACCAAAAGAATCTGTGCACCACAATGATCTAATTCAATTTTGCTTTTTGAGAGGGTTTACAGAAAGATTAAACTGACTGATTAACATTGAGCGCTCTTTTCCCCTTAGACCAAATTTTAGTTAGCTATTGTCAACTATAAAGCTCATTATTATTCTTATGAACTTTAGAATCTAAAAAGATAAATCAGTCATTTGCCTGTTTGTTAAGACTTTGTCTGAGCCATCCCTACAAGACAGGTAAAGACAGCACTCAGCACAGGACTGTGGCCTACACTGATCTCTCCTTACTTCCATTATCTGCATTCACATCCATGTCTTAAATTACTGCCTTCTCAAAGTTAACAACTACATTAGTATTTTCTTGTTTACTATCTTTTTGTTTTGTTTTGTTTTTGTTTTTTCTTTTTCGAGAGGGTGTCTCACTCTGTTGCCCAGGCTGGAGTGCAATGGCATGATCTCGGCTCAATGCAACCTCCACTTCCCGGGTTCAAGCGATTCTCCTGCCTCAGCCTCCGGAGTAGCTGGGACTACGGGCGCCTGCCACCACGCCCAGCTAATTTTTATATTTTTAATAGAGACGGGGTTTTACCATGTTGGCCAGGATGGTCTCGATCTCTTGACCTTGTGATCCACCCGCCTCAGCCTCCCAAAGTGCTGGGATTACAGGCGTGAGCCACCGCGCCCGGCCTTTTTTTTTTTTTTTTTTTTTGAGACACAGTCTCGCTCTGTCGCCCAGTCTGGAGGGCAGTGGCCTGATCTCGGCTCACTGCAACCTCCACCTCCCAGGTTCACGCCATTCTCCTGCCTCAGCCTCCCAAGTAGCTGGGATTACAGGCGTAAGCCCCCACGCCCGGCGAATTTTTTGTATTTTTAGTAGAGATGGGGTTTCACTGTGTTAGCCAGGATGGTCTTGATCTCCTGATCTCGGAATCCACCCGCCTCGGCCTCCCAAAATGCTGGGATTACAGGCGTTAGCCACTGCGCCCGGCCCACTCTCTGTTCAACTCGGGAATCCCTGTCTTCTTCCTGTCTTGAAAGCTTCAGCCTTCTGAGACTTAAGAATACAATTTCAGGCTGGGCGCGGTGGCTCACGCCTGTAATCCCAGCACTTTGGGAGGCCCAGGCAGGCGGATCACGAGGCCAGGAGATCAAGACCATCCTGGCTAACACGGTGAAACCCCGTCTCTACAAAAAATACAAAAAATTCGCCGGGCGCCTGTAGTCCCAGCTACTCGGGAGGCTGAGGCGAGAGAATGGCGTGAACCCGGGGGGCGGAGCCTGCAGTGAGCCGAGATTGCGCGGCTGCACTCCAGCCTGGGCGACAGAGCGACACTGTCTCAAAACAAAAAACAAAACAAAACAAAATTCAATTTCAAAACCTAGATAAAAACTAAATCTTTGGAGATTCAGTGCTAAATTCTCAATTTGTGTTCACTAAAAGACGTACACTTGGGCAGTGACTAATTTGATAGTTATTTCCCTTGGACTGATAAGCACATTCCTTTTTTTTTTTTTTTTTTTTTTTGTTAGAGTCTTGCTCTGTCGGCCAGGCTGGAGTGGCATGATCTCGGCTAACTGCAACCTCCATCTCCTGGGTTCAAGCAATTCTCCTGCCTCAGCCTCCTGAGTAGCTGGGATTACAGGCGTGTGCCACCATGCCTGGCTAATTTTTGTAATTTGAGTAGAGACGGGGTTTCACCATGTTGACCAGGCTGGTCTCAAACTCCTGACCTCAGGTGATCTGGCCTCCTCGGCCTCCCAAAGTGCTGGGACTACAGGTGTGAGCCACTGTGCCCCACCCAAGTACATTCATTTTTAAACAATTAAGAAGTTTTGTAATGACTTGTGAAATGAGGTGATGAAATATAATTAAAGTAATCACTATTTTAATGGTAGTTCTCCATGGAATATTTCACAAAATTATTCAGCACCTTGTTAAGTTTTTAAGAACTAATAATGAAATAATATAATAATAAACCAGGAACATAGTGTTATAAATAGATACAAAATACTTTAGAGATTGAAGTTTTGTATTCACAGAGATGGGAGTGAAATAAAGTAGTTGTTCTTATAACTCTTGGCACTGAGACTATGTGACCTGTGATTTTGATATATGAGAGAAAAGCCAGATTTTATATGCAAGATGTTGGACAATAGATTTAGAGAGAAAATGTATCAGAATACACACTGAGGCAATAATTGCCTGTTTACAGATGAAACAGGAAAGACAAGATATAGAACTTCAAAATAAACATAAATGGTAATACTTAGCAGCATATTGAGCCAATTTATTTGGAGAAAATAATGAGAACACGCAGGACAACGCTGATGCTATAGACAAAAATTTATATTTTTTCCACTCAGGAGACTGTTTTTAGTAGTTTACTACTAGACAAGATGCTATGTTGAATAAAGCTAATGTACTTACTCTGTTTTGTTTCTTCTTTTTTTTTAAGTTCTGGAATAATTTTCAGGAGAAAGAAAATCATAAGAGTTTATTTAAAATTTCTTTTTCTTGAAACAGATTTATATTATTGAAAAATTAAATAACAGGTCACTACATAAATATCCCTGAAATTTTTTTTTTTCTTTTTTTGAGACGGAGTCACGCTCTGTTGCCAGGCTGGAGAGTGGTGGCGCCACCTTGGCTCACTGCAACCGCCGCCTCCTGGGTTCAAGCAATCCTCCTGCTTCAGCCTCCTGAGTAGCTGGGACTACAGGCTCGCACCACCACACCCAGCTAATTTTTTGTGTTTTTAGTAGAGACAGCGTTTCATCATGTTGCCCAGGATAGTCTTGATCTCTTGACCTCGTAATCTTCCCGTCTCAACCTCCCAAAGTGCTGGGATTACAGGCATGAGCCACAGCGCCAAGCCAAAAATGTCGGTGAATTTTCAGAGACTAGATCCATTCAGTGAACACAGCCAGGGCTCTGTTGGATGCAAATGACAAAGACACAACTCAAACGTACTTTAACTCATGTTACAAAATGCTAAAGGACAGACCTTAGGGCATAAGCAGCATCTCTAGAATTTAGTCTTACCTCTTCCATCTCTACCTTTCTCTGTGTTGGTTCCATTTTATTTGTTTCCTGCAATGACTCATATCTTGTGATTGAAAAACAAGGGGCCGGGCGCGGTGGCTCACGCCTGTAATCCCAGCACTTTGGGAGGCCAAGGCGGGTGGATCACGAGGTCAGGAGATCGAGACCAACCTGGCTAACACGGTGAAACCCCGTCTCTACGAAAAATACAAAAAAAATTAGCCGGGCATGGTGGCAGGCACCTGTAGTCCCAGCTACTTGGGAGGCTGAGGCAGGAGAATAGCGTGAACCTGGGAGGCGGAGCTTGCATTGAGCCAAGATCCCACCATTGCACGCCAGCCTGGGCGACAGAGACAGACTCCATCTCAAAAAAAAAAAAAAAAGAAGAAGCCTGGTGGATATTCATTTCTGCAAGAATACTCAGGGAGTTCTATCATCAGGGACCTTTTCTGGACATGGTTTGCCTCTCCAGGCCTTGATAACCATATCTTACTCCCCAAAACACTTTTGTTTCTGAGCATCCTCAGAGCCCATTTTTTCTGACCCAAATTGCTGCTCAGTAAAGGGACACAGATATTTAAGGGACACAGATATTTAAGGGACCTGAGGGGATGGTCCAAAAAGAGTAATTTTCTAGAGTGTCCATATATTTTTAAGTAATTGTGGAGGCATCAATCAGGATATCACTCTTCCTCCATTCACCCACCAAGAGATTGGGAATTGCCTTGTTCAATGTCGAAAGGCTGTCCTGGCTCACTCTTTCAGCACTCTGCAAAAGATGAGTGTTATCGCAATGGCATTGTGCCCACACACACCCAGGGAAAACCGTAGCTTTTGAAAAATGTTATAAACAAAATAACTGCATTGAATTCCACCAGATAAATTACAGATCATTTCTTTGAAAGTTAACACCGTGAGAACAATGTGTTTGATTTTCTGTTTTCTCAAAGTAAAAGTTTAGACAAGTATATTCTAGTAATATCATTTTATTTTTCATTTGAGACAGGGTCTCACTCTGTCATTCAGTCTGGAGTACAGTGGTGTGATCGCAGCTCACTGCAGCCTCAACCTCCCAGGCTCAGGTGACCCTTCCACCTCAGCCTCCCATGTAACTGAGACTACAGGCATGTGCCACCACACCCATCTGGTAGTATCTATACAGATCAGAGTTTACTTCTATATGGTAATGGAACAACTTTGACATGACAGAACATTCATAAGCAATTTTGGCATGTAAGTAACTGTTCTGATATTCGAAGCTCTCAATTGTATGATAAGCAATCCAACTCAACTAGTTAAACAAAAAACCTCTACTATATAAACATTAGAAAATCTTACCACATTTTGAGTATTTTAGTAGCTGAGTAAAAGAGACAAAATATATGAACATTTAAAATGCCCTTTAATGTCAGTTAATTTTTTTCTATGATTATAATAGTAAGAGTTGTGCGTGTGTTCTTTGGTTTAAATAGCACTACATTCTTCTTTGATATAATTTTTATATCCTTCCTCCCTCTCTCTCTCTCTGTGTGTGTGTATATATATACACACACACACAATATGTACATAGAATATATATACTGACACATACATACATTCATATATAAAATTTGAAATTAAAATATTAAGTATGGCTGGGCATGGTGGCTCATGCCTGTAATCCCAGCACTTTGAGAGGCCAAGGCAGGTGTATTATGAGGTCAAGAGTTCAAGACCAGCTTGGCCAAGATGGCGAAACCCCATCTTTACTAAAAATACAAAAACTAGTTACGACCGGTGGCAGGCACCTGTAATCCCAGCTACTCGGGAGGCTGAGGCAGAGAATTGCGTGAACCCAGGAGGCAGAGATTGCAGTGAGCTGAGATTGCACCACTACACTCCAGCCTGGGTGGAGCAAGACTCTGTCTCAAAAAAATAAAAAATAAAATAAATAAAGAAGGAAAATATTAAGCATGAACATAAAAAAGAACAAGAGCTGGTATAATTAGAATTAGTGTTTTGAAACTTTTCTCTTAAGTACTTTTGGTCATATTAATCAGTTGCTCTAAAATTTCAACATGGACATTTTGAAGGTGCACAGTTGCACACACCCCAATTGCAGAGTTCCAGTTTGGTTCAGATCGAGTAAACACATTCTGCCTTATCTACTGATTACACTGATAATCATGGTCAAAATGCATAATGTTACTAACAGAAGACTCTGAACGTTGGATAAGAGTAGTAAACATTCACCCCTAGACATTGCCATGGGGTTGAAGCCCCACAGCCTGTCTGTATGCTCCCCTAGAGGTTTGACCAGTGGGGCACTGAAGCACTGAAGAAGCAAGCCACACCTCCATCACATGCCCTGCAAAAGGGACAAGGGAACCTTTCCCATTTCAATAGCTACACATGTACCCCTGAACTTGGTATGGAGCTCAGGACCTGAAGGATGACCTAGCGGTGATTTGCCTAACTTGATTTCCTCCTTCCTTCCCTTCCTCTTTCCTTCCCTCCCTCTCATCATCCTTCCTCTTTCCCTTCTTCCTCCCTCCCTCTCTCTCTCCTTCTTATTTCTCCTCTCTTATTCCTCCTCTTCCACCCCTCCTTCTCCTTCTTCTCAGTCTTCTTCTTTCTTCTTATGTATTCAAGCTTGATCTCTAAAACAGACTGAAACTAGAACTGCACACAGGCAGACTGAAGGAGATAAAGACATGAAGAAACATTCAAAATATCAAGAAATCCAGGAGATGATTTTCTGAAAAAATTAAAATAGACCACTAGCTAGACTAACAAAAAAGAAAAGACAGAAGATTCAAATAAACAATCA
Organism: Homo sapiens; assembly: GCF_000001405.40. Lineage (NCBI taxonomy): Eukaryota > Metazoa > Chordata > Mammalia > Primates > Hominidae > Homo > Homo sapiens. The sequence goes on from NC_000009.12 coordinate 60,958,527, forward strand.
GAAACAACAAGGGCAATATTACCACTGACCCCACAGAAATACAAATAACTCTCAGAGAATATTATGAACACCTCTATGCATATAAACTAGAAAATCTAGTAGAAATGGATAAATGCCTGGACACATACACCCTCCCAAGACTGAACCAGGAAGAAATTGAGTCCCCGAACAGACCAAAAATAAGCTCCAAACTTGAATCAGTAATAAGTAGCCTGTCAACCAAAAAAGGCCCAGGACCAGACAGATGCACAGCTGAATCCTACCAGATGTACAAAGAAGAGCTGGTATTACTCATACCAAAACTATTCAAAAAAGTTGAGGAGGAGGGATTCCTCCCAAACTCCTTCTATGAGGCCAGCATCATCCAGATACCAAAACCTGGCAGATATACAACAACAACAACAACAAAAAACTTCAGGCCAATATTCTTGATGAATGTTGATGCAAAAATCCTCAACAAAATACTGGCAAACCGAATTGAGCAGCAGATCAAAAGGCGTATCCACCACGGTCAAGTAGACTTCATCCCCGGGATACAAGGTTGGTTCAACCTACACAAACCAATAAATGTTATTCATCACATAAACAGAACTAAAGGCCAAAACCATATGATTATCTCAAAAGATACAGAAAAGGCTTTCAATAAAATTCAACATTCATTCATGTTAAAAACTCTCAATAAACTAGGTATTGAAGAAACATACCTCAAAAGAATAAGCACCATATATGATAAACCCACAGCTAATATCATACTTAATGGGCAAAAGCTGGAAGCATTCCCCTTGGAAACTGGCACAAGACAAGGTTGCCCTCTCTCACTACTCCTATTAAATATAGTATTGGAAGTTCTGGCCAGGGCAATCAGGCAAGATAAAGAAATAAAGAACTTTCAAATAGTAAGAGAAGAAGTCAATTATCCCTGTTTGCAGATGACATGATCATATTTCTAGAAAACCCCATAGTCTCAACCCAAAAGCTTATTAAGCTGATAAGCAACTTCAGGAAAATCTCGGGATACAAAATCAATGTGCAAAAATTACTAGCATTCCTATACACCAACAAAAGTCAAGCCAAGAGCCAAATCAGGAACAAATTCCCATTCACAACTGCAACAAAAAGAATAAAATACCTAAGAATACAGCTAACAAGGGAGGTGAAAGGTCTCTACAAGGAGAACTACAAACCACTGCTCAAATAAACAGAGAAGGCACAAACAAATGGAAAAACATTCTATGCCCATGGATAAGAAGAATCAATATTGTTGGCCAGGCACAGTGGCTCACACCTGTAATCCTAGCACTTTGGGAGGCTGAGGTGGGCAGATCATGAGGTCAAGAGATTGAGACCATCCTGGCCAACATGGTGAAACCCCGTCTCTACTAAAAATACAAAAATTAGCTGGGCATGGTGTTGTGCGCCTGTAGTCCCAGCTACTCGGGAGGCTGAGGCAGGAGAATCGCTTGAATCTGGGAGGCGGAGGTTGCAGTGAGTCAAGATTGTGCCACTGCACTCCAACCTGGCGACAGAGCCAGACTCCATCTCAAAAGAGAGAGAGAGAAAAAAAGAGTCAATATTGTTAAAATGGCCATACTGCCCAATGCAATTTACAGATTCAATGCTATGCCTGTTAAACTATCACTGACATTCTTCACAGAACTATAAAAAAACTCTTTTAATATTCATATGGAACCAAATAAGAGCACGAATAGCCAAGGCAATCTTAAGCAAAAACAACAAAGCTGGAGGCATCACGCTACCCGACTTTGAGCTATACTACAGGGCTACAGTAACCAAAACAACATAGTACTGGTACAAATTTATTTGTACAAATTTATTATTGGTACAGACACATAAACCAATGGAACAGAATAGAGAACCCACAAGTAAGACCACACACCTACAACTATCTGATCTTCAACAAACCTGACAAAAGCAAGCAATGGGGAAAATATTCCCTATTCAATAAATGGTGCTAGGATAACTGGCTAGCCATACACAGAAGATTGAAATTGAACTTCTTCCTTACACCATATAAAAAAATTAGCTCAAGATGGATTAAAGACTTAAATGTAAAACCCAAAACTATAGAAATCCTGGAAGACAACCTAGGCAATATCATTCAGAACAGTCACAGGCAAAGATTTCATGATAAAGACACAAAAAGCAATTGTAACAGAAACAAACATTGACAAATGGGATCTAATTAAACTAAAGACCTTCTGCACAGCAAAAGAAACTATCAACAGAGTCAACAGACAACCTACAGAATGCAAGAAAATATTTGCAAACTATGCATCTGACAAAGGTCCAATACCCAGCATCTATAAGGAACTTAAACTAATTTACAAGAAAAAACCAACCCCATTAAAGTGAGAAAAGGATGTGAACAGATACTTTTCAAAGGAAGACATACATGCGGCCAACAATCATATGAAAAAAGCTCAATATCAGTGATCATTAGAGAAATGCAAATCAAAACCACAGTGAGATACCATCTCACACCAGTCAGAATGGTGATTTTTTAAAATAATAAAACATTATAAACTATACCTAACATTTATAGAACACTCCACCCAACAGCAGCAGAATACATGTTTTTCTAAGAGAAAATGATATCCTGAAACATTGTTCAGCAGAACTGTTACAATTTCTTTTTAAAAACCTGAAATTTCTTCTTTTAATTGGTAATTATTTTTTTAACTTTTATTTTAAGTTCAGGGTTACATGTGAAGGTTTGTTATACAGGTAAACCTGTGACATGGGGGGTTATTGTACAGATTATTTCATCTCCCAAGTATTAAGCCTAGTACTCATTAGGTATCTTTCCTGACCTTCTCCCTCCTCCCACCCTCCACCCTTTGAGATACCACAGTGTGTGTTGCTACCCTCTATGTGTCCATGTGTTCTCATCAGAATGGCTATTATTAAAAAGCAAAAAGCAAAAAAAAAAAAAAAAACAGATGCTGGCGAAGTTGTGGAGAAAAAGGAACAATTATACAATGTTGGTGGGAGTGTAAATTAGTTCTACTATTTTGGAAGACAGTGTGATGATTCCTCAAAGACCTAAAGACAGAAATGTCATTCAGCCCAGCAATCCCATTACTGGGCATATACCCAAAAGAACATAAATCATTTTATTATAAAGCCACATACACACATATGTTCACTGCAGCACTATTCATAACAGCAAGGACATGGAATCACCCTAAATGCCCAACAATGATAGACTGGATAAAGAAAATGTAGTACATATACACCATGGAAAACTATGCAGCTATAAAAAAGAATAAGATCATGTCCTTTGCACAAACATTAATGGAGCTGGAGGCCATTATCCTTAGCAAACTAATACAGGAACAGAAAACCAAATACGGCATGTTCTCACTTATAGTGGGAGCTAAACGATGAGAGCATACGGACACACAGAGGGAAACATTAGGGTGGAGGATAGGAGGAGAGAGAAGAACGGGAAAAATAACAAATGGGCATTAGGCTTAATACCTGGATGATGAAACAATCTGTACAACAAACCTCCATGACACAAGTTTACCTGTGTACCAAACTGATATGGAAGTGCTGGGAAGGGAAGAGCGTGGTCCCTTTAAATGATAGGGAAGGGGAGAAGGGAAGTGCTGGGTAGAGGAGGGCATGGTCCCTGGCTAGGGCTCCACCCCCACGGACCTAGGTAAGGACAGGCACTTCTGCTTTCATGCCGAAATGTAGCATTTTCCAAGACCACCCTGGCCTGCCGTGCCCCCATCATGGGCCTATAAAAACCAGAGACCTTAGCAAGGCAGGGACGCAAGCAGCTGGACATCATAAGGAACACATCAGCAGAAGAAGACACAAGCAGCTGGTCATCGAAAGCACACTGGCGGAAGAGCAGGCCAACAGACACCTGCAGGCCATCAGGCCATCGATGGAGTCTCGCTCTGTCGCCCAGGCTGGAGTGCGGTGGCGCGATCTCCGCTCACTGCAAGCTCCGCCTCCCGGGTTGACGCCATTCTCCTGCCTCAGCTTCCCGAGTACTGGGACTACAGGCGCCTGCCACCACGCCCAGGTAATTTTTTGTATTTTTAGTGGAGACGGGGTTTCACCATGTTAGCCAGGATGGTCTTGATCTCCTGACCTCGTGATCTGCCCACCTCGGCCTCCCAAAGTGCTGGGATTACAGGCGTGAGCCAGAGCGCCCAGCCAGGACTTCTTTATTAAGTGGTTTTTCATTAAAGGCAGTGATGTTAAATGTGCTCTTGCAAAGGGAGTTTCTTCTAAGGTTGCTGTTACTAGGGAACTGTTGCTATGGGCACCATTGCTAAGAAATGTTGCTAAAGACAATGTTTCTAAGGATATTGCTAAGAGCTTTGTTGCCAAGGGTGTTGTTGCTAAGATTGTCGCCAAGGGAATTGTATTAGGTTGGTACAAAGGTGATTGCGGTTTTTGCCACTGAAATGGCAAAAATCGCAATCACCTTTGCATCAACCTAATAATTAAGGACATTGTTGCTGCATATAGTGTTGCAATGGATTTTGCTCCTAGGGCCTCTTAGATAAGGGTGTTGTTGCTAAGAAATGTTCCCCACACATACTGCCACCAAGGACATAGTTGTTACTGCCACTGTAGCTAAATGCATGGCTGATATGGCCATTATTGCTCTGGTCACAATTACAGTAGCCACTCTTGCAGAAGGAGCAATTCCTATGACCACTGTTGCTAAAGACATTGTTATTAAGTATGTTGCTATTAATGGAACTTTTTCAAAGAGTGCGGTTGCTAAGCACATTTTGCCAAGTTTTTGCTAATGATATTGTTGGGAGGGCCCTTATGCTAAAGACATCGTTCTTAAAGGTGTTAGTATTAAGGGTGGTGTTGCAAGAAAGTTTTTGCTAAGGATGCATTTGCTAAATCAAGGTTGGATGGTCACTGCTGCCACGAAAACTGTTGCTAAAGGCAACATTGCTAGGGGCAAAGGTGCTAAGGAAATTTTTGCTATGAAATGTGTTGATAAGATTGTTGATAGGCAGTTTTTAGAAAGGCACTTTCTTTGTTAGTATTAGTGTGTTTTGTGTTTTCTTAGTATGTTTGTTAGTGTGTTTTGGCGTGCTTTGCTAAGAAATCTGCACTAAGTTGCTTTTGCTGAGGGTGTGGCTGCTATGGCCACTGTTGGCAAAGTCATTGTTGAGAAGGCATTATTTCTAAGTTTATTATTGCTAAGGAAATTGTTGCCTTTTTGTTAAGAGAATTGTATTAGTTTCCTAGGGCTGCCATATCAAAGTACCACAAACGAGGTGGCTTAAAATAAAAGAAATTTCTCTTACAGTTCTGGAGCTTAGAAGTCCAAATCAGGTGGTGGTAGGGTTGCTTCCTTCTGAGCACTCGGAATCTTTTCCATGCGTTTTTCCTTGCTTCTGATGGCTCCTGGAAATCTTTCACATTTCTTGGCATCACTCCAGTCTCTGCCTTCGTATTCACATGCCCTTACAAAACTTACTCTCTGTTGCTAGGAGCGTGTTTGCTAAGGAAATGCTTGCTAAAGGTATTTTTAAGGGCATTTCTCTTAAAGGCATTAATGTTCAAGATATTGTCACAGATAAGTTTTGGTACCAATGCAGTTACCAAGAGTGTTGATGTTATGGCCCTGTTGCAAAGGAAACTTGTTGTTAAGGGTGTTGCAAGACTCTTGTGTTAATATCGTTGTAAAGAAAGTTGTTGTTAAGGATGCTGTTCCTAACTGCGTTTGTTTCTATGTTGCAAAATGAGATATGTTAAAAGCATTGCTGCAAAAGATGTTCTTGCTAGGAGCATTGCTGCTGATGGAAAGTTTGCAAAGGTAATTGTTGATGGAAGCAATTTTGAAGGTCCTCTTTTTTTAAAAAAAAAAAAAAAAAAAAACAGGCAGAGTCTAGCCCTGTCGCCCAAGCTGGAGTGCAGTGTTATGATCATGGTTCACTAACCTCAAACTCTTGGGCTCCAGCAATTTTCTCACCTCAGCCTCCCAAGTAGCTAGGACTACGAGCACAGGTCACCATACCTGACTTTTTTAAAAAATTTTTTGTAGAGACAGCATCTCACTATATTGCCCAGACTGACCTCAAACTGCTGGCCTCAAGCAAACTTCCTGCCTCAACCTTTCAAAGTGCTGGGACTACAGACATTAGTCACCATATCTGGTCAAGATTGTCATTCTTAAAGGCATTGATATTAAAAGTGTTATTGAAGATTAAGGTTTTGCTATGAGTGCTGTTAGTAACTACTGTTGCTAAGAAAGCTGTTGTTAAGGGCATTTTTGATAAGGGTACTATTGGTAAGGTTATTATTCTTAAGGGTATTGCTATGGTTTGGATGTTTGTCCCCTCTAAACCTCATGTTGAAATTTGATCCCCAATGTTGGAGATGGGGCCTAATGGGAAGTGTTTGGGTCATATGACCAAATCCCGTATTAACAGATTAATCTCCTTCCTTGAGGCTGAGTGTGTCGTCTATCAGTTCCTGCCAGAGCTGGTCGTTAAAAAGAGCCTGAGACCTTTCTGCTCTCTTTCTCTCTCTCTCTCATCATGTGAGCTCTGCACACACCAGCTCCCCTTCATCTTCTGCCATGAGTGGAAGCAGCCTGAGGCCCTCACCTGACACAGATGTCCAATCTTGAACTTCCCAGCCATCAGAATTGAGAACCAACTAAATAGTTTTTCTGTATAAATTACCCATCCTCAGGTATTTATTTCGAGCAACACAAAATGGTATAAGGCAGGTGTTGATGTCAAAAAAGTTTTGTAAGGGCATTGTTCTTTAAGGCCTTGAAGTTATTGTGCAAAGAAAGTTTTGCTAAGGGTGTTACTGCTATGACTAGTGTTTCTAAGGAAACTGTTGCTAAAAGCACTTTTTTTCTCAGAGTATTATTCTTAAGGACTTAATTGCTAAGAGAATGGTAGTAATAATATTTTTGCCAAGGTTGTTGTGGCTAAGGAAGTCATTGCTGAGGGTCTTTCGTTAAACATGCTGTTCTTAAAGGCATTTTTGTTTTGTTTTGTTTTGTTTTGTTTTGAGACAGGGTCTCACTCTGTCACCCAAGCTGGAGTGCAGTTGCGTGATCACAGCTCACTGCAGGCTTGAGCTCCTGTGCTCAAAGTGATCCTCCTGCCTCAGTCTCCAAAGCAACTGGGACAACAAGCACACACCACCATGCCTAGTGTATTAGACTGTTCTCATGTTGCTAATACAGACATACCCAAAACTGGGTAATTTTTAAAGGAAAGACATTTAATTGACTCACAGTCCCCATGGCTGGAGAGGCCTCGCAATCATGGCGGAAGGCAAAAGAGGAGCAAAGTCACATCTTACCTGGCAGCAGGCAAGAGAGCTTGTGCAGGGAAACTCCCCTTTATAAAACCATCAAATTTCATGAGACTTATTCACTATTATGAGAACAGCATGGGAAAGACCCACCCCCATGATTCAATTACCTTCCATTGGGTCCCTCCCATAACACGTGGGAATTATGGGAGCTACAATGCAAGATGAGATTTGGATGGGGATACAGCCAAACCATATCATGTAGCTAGCTTTTTAATTTTTTTAATTTTTCTTTTTGTAGAGATGAGATCTCACTACATTGCCCAACCTGGTCTTGAACCCTTGGTCTAAAGCAATCCTCCCGATCCCACCTCTCAAAGTGCTGGAATTATAGGCATGAGCCACTGTGCCCAGCCAAAGGCATTGATGTTAATGTTGTTGTTGGATGTTTTTGCTAAAGGTGCTGTTACTAAGAACACTGTGGCCGTGGCCACTATTGCAGAGGCTACTGTTGCTAAGATCATTGGTGCTAAAGGTGCTGTTCCTAAGGAAAGTGTGTTGAATTTAAGGAAATTGTTGTTATGGGCTATTTTCTTAGAGTCATTGTTCTTAAAGGCCTTGATAGTAAGAGTGTTGAAAATAAAACAGATTTTGCTACAAGTGATGTTGATAAGGGAGCTGCTGTTATGAGTACTGTTTCCAAATGTGATGTTGCTAAGAGCCAATTGCTAAGGGTACTCTAGCTAAATACATTGTTAATAAGGACATTGCTGCAAATAGTGCTGCTCACAGAGTTGTTGTTAATGGTGCTGTTTCTAAGGACACTGTTGATACTGCACCAATGCTAAGGGCCTGGTTGTTCATGGCATTTTTATTAAAGGCAGTTATAATAATGAGGTTGTTTTTAAGGTGTTGATGCCAAGAGTATTGTTTCTAAAGATATTTTTGCTAAGCAGCTGTTGCTGATGGCCTTGTTTTATAGCCACTGTTTCTATGGGAAATGATACTAAAGGTTTTGCTAAATTGGCTTTTTTCCAAGGGTGCTGTGCAAAGGTTGTTAAGTACTGTTGTAAGGAAAATATTATTATGAATATTATTGTTAAGGCCATTGCCTATAAGAGTTGCTAAAGGACATTGTGAGTCCTTTATCCTATATAAATATAAAGGATATTTATATTAAGCACATTGTCACTGAGGAACTTGCTGCTAGGTGTTTTGTTGATGTGGCCTATTGTTGCTAAGGATATTGTCACTCTGACAATGATATTAGGGGCATTGTAGCTAAGGACATTGACATTAAGGCTCTGTTACTAAGACTCATTTTTGCTAAGGGTATTTTTGCTAAGGATGTTGTTATTAAGTACATTTTTGCTAGAGCATTCTTGTTCAGTGTGTTGTTGCTAAAGGGCTAGTTGCTAGAAGCACTTTTCCTAGAATAATTGTTGCAAAGAGCATTCATGCTAAAATGTTGATCCTAAGACCACTGTTTCTAAGAAACTCATTTGAAGGACACTGTCACTGTGAGTGTCGTTGCTAAGGTTGTTGTTGTAAAATCCTTTATGGCTAAGGGCATTGTTACTATGTTCATTATTGTTAAGTGTATTACAGTAAAGAGGCATTGCTACTAAATACACTGCTGTTAATGACTCTATTGCTCAGGGACTTAATCCTAAGGGTATTGTTGCAAAGAGAGTTAAGGATGTTGATGTTAAGGTGTTGTTTGAAAGTGTGCTGTTGGCCGGGCACGCTGGCTCACGCCTGTAATCCCAGCACTCTGGAAGGCCGAGGCCGGTGGATCACTTGAGGTCAGGAGTTTGAGACCAGCCTGACCAACCAACATGGTGAAACCCCATCTCTACGAAAATTACAAAATCAGCTGGGCGTAGTGGTGCACACCTGTAATCCTGGCTTCTTGGGAGGCTGAGGCAGGAGAATGGCTTCAACCTGGGAGGTGGAGGTTACAGTGAGCCGAGATCACGCCATTGCACTCCAGCCTGGGCAACAAGAAGGAAACTCTGTCAAAAAGAAAATAAAGTGTGCCGTTATTAGAATCATTTTGGCTAAGGGGTGTTGGTTTGAATGGTGGTATTGCTAAGGAGACTGATGCTAAAGGCACTCTTAGTAAGTGCAACTGTCGCTGAGGTTGATGTTCCAAAAGGCACTGATGTTAAGGACATTGTTGCTAAGCCTGTTTTTTAAAGTGTGCTGCTGTTATGGGTATTGTTGTTAAGGGTGTTGTAAGAGAAATCATTGCTGAGTACCACTGCTGCTGAGAGCATTGCCACTAAGATCTAATATTGCCAAGGACAGTGTTGCTAAGGCCGTTGAACTTAAATGCATTTTAGTAAAGGCATTGTTCCTAAGGCTATTGTTAGGGGCTGTTGCGAAGGAACTGTGTTAAAGATATTATTGTTATAGTCGTTAAATCTAAGAGTTTTGATGTTAAGGGCCCTGATGCTAAAAACACGTTTAGATAATTTTTACTACAACTCATTATGGCTAAGAATGTTGATGTTAGGTACATTATTGCAAGGCACTTTAGTAAAGTGTCTTGTTGCTAAATGATTATTGCTAAAGGCACTGTTGCTAAGGGGACTGTTTCTTAGTGAATCCATAAGAGCTTTGTTGCTAAGGGCCATTTTTGCTAAGAACATTGTTTCTAAGGGTGTTGAAGTTAAACACGTTATTACTGAAAGCACTGTGGTAAAGGCATCTTACCTAAGGGTTTACTGCTAATAGCACTGTTACTCAAGGAACTGAGGCTAAGGGCATTGTTGCTGAGGGGGTTGTTATTAAGGGCATTTGTTATGAAAGGTCATTGTGTCTAAGTACAATTGCTTCTAAGGACATTGTTTGAAGGGCATTATTTCAAGGGTCATTGTTGCTAAGAGCATTAATGTCACCGACAGTGTTGTTCCTAAGGGAATGTTAGTAAGAGCATTGTTTCTAAGAGTATTGTTACAAAAGGACTCTTGCTAAGGACATTGTTGCAAATACATTTTGGTAAAGGCATTGTTCCTAAAGGGATTCTGGCTAAGGACACTGTTACAAGGGGCATCTTTTATAAGGGCATTGTTGCTAAAGTTGATTTTACTAAAGGCCATTTTAGCTAAAGGCACTGTTGCTAAGTACACTGTTGTCAAGGATGTTGTTGCTAAGGGTGCTGTTGTTAAGAGCATTATGTTCTAAAGGATCCGTTGCCAAGGGAATTGATGATAATTGCGTTGTTTCTTTTTTCTTTTCTTTTCTTTTCTTTTCTTTTCTTTTCTTTTCTTTTCTTTTCTTTTTTTTTTTAGATGGATTCTCCCTCTGTTGCCCAGGCTGGAGTGTGGTGGCATGATCTCAGCTCACTGCAACCTCTGCCTCCCAGGTTCAAGTGATTCTCCTGCCTCAGCCTCCCGAGTAGCTGGGATTACAGGCGTGCACCACCATGCCCAGCTAATTCTTGTATTTTTGGTAGAGATGGGGTTTCATCATGTTGGCCAGGCTGGTCTCAAACTCCTGACCTCAAGTGATCCACCCACCTCAGCCTCCCAATGTGCTTGGGATTACAGGCATGAGCCACCTTGCCCGGCCTGTAGTTGCATTGTTTCTAAGGGCCTTTGTTAAGGCACTATGCTAATGTTTTTGCTAAAAGTCATTGTTACAAAAGCTGTGGTTACTAATGATGTTGCTGCCATGGAACACGTGCCTAAGGGCGATATTTCAATTGGCATCGATAGTAAGGTCACTGTTGCTAAGGAAGTTATTTCTAAGTGCATTGTTCCTGGAGCCATTGTAGTTATGGGTGATGTTCATAAGAGAACTGTTGAAGGTCATTGTGGCTAAAGGCATTATTACTATTGCTAGTGTTTCTCATGATGCTGTTTCTACCAGCACTGATCCTAAATCTCGTGTTGCTAAGAGTATTGTTACTGAGGGTATTACTGCTAAGTATATTGTTGCTTAGGGTACTATTGCTTAGAATGTTTTTGTATATTATTGTTAAGGACACTGTTTCTAAGATCATTGTTCCTAGGGTGTTAATGTTGGCAAGGGACATTTTTGCTGAAGGCATTGTGACTAAAGGCATTGTTGTTACAGGTATTTTCTTCAAAGGGCATTGTTGGGAAGGGGACATTTCTAGAGTCACTCTTGCTAAAGACTGTTGCTAAGACCATTTTACTAAGGTCAATGCTAACAGCATTATTACCAAGGCTTTATTTTTATGGCTCACTGTTGGTTGCTAAAGTCATTGCTTCTAAGGGCCAAGAGGGCTGTTGTCAAGAATGCTGGTCTTAGGGGATTTTTGCTAATAGTAATATTGTTAGGACATTGTTGCAAAGAGTGTGGTTGCTAAGGGCCATTGTTTATAAGGTAAACAATGGTAAACTCTTGGTAAGGCAAGTTTGGATAAGAGCACTGTTGCTAAGGGCACTGGTTATAGGGGTGATGCGCATGATTTTTTTACTAAGGACATTATTAAGAATGTCATTTCTAAGGTCAGTTGTTTACCCCTTTCTTGCTAATGGTACTGATGTTAAGAGTGTTGGTTCTATGAGTATTACCATTCAGAGCATTTCTCCAGGAGCCATTGTTGCTAAGTTCATTGATATTATGTATTTTGTAGCTAGGGCATTGCTGTAAAGTGTGCTGTTGCCAACAACACTGTTGCTGATGTCATTATTGCTAAGGAGTTGATACTAAAAGCATTTTTACTAAGGTGCCATTGGTAAGAGTGCTGTTGTTAATGCCACTATAAAGGACATTTTTGTAAGGGCATTGTTGCTAATTGCTTTATTTCTAATTTTGTTATTGCTAAGGGCCATGGTTTTTGAAGGTATTATTTCTAAGGGTGTTTTTGCTAAGATACACTAACAGGCCATGGTTTGACCATTTCCAAAGTACCATGGCAATTTATAGAGGTAAATGGACATACCATTGTTCCTAAGGGCATTGTTGCTATGGACATTGATTTTAAAGACATTGTTGCCAATGGCATTGTTGCAATTGGCATAATTCCCACTATTTCTACAGGCAATTATGCTAAGGCTGTTGTTGCTTAGAGATTTGTCAGTAAGGTGCACCATTGCTAATGATGTTGCTGCTAAGGACATTGTTGTTAGGGGCCATTGTTGTTATGTTATGAGTGTTGTCTCTAGGGTCATTGTTCCTAAGGGCCATTTTTGTTAAGGGTCTTGATGCTAAAGGCCATTTTTTTAAAGGACATTTTGGTAAAGGTATTCATTTCAAGCTATTTGTTGCTAAGGTCATTGTTGTTTGGGGTGGTTGTTAAGGTCCATGATTGCTAATGTAAGATATTGCTTCTAGGAGTGTTAATGTCAGTCAAAGGTGTTGCTAAGAGCAACTGTGGCAAATAGTGTTATAGCTGAGGGCATTTTTCTAATGTTACTGTTGCTTAGATTATGTTGCCAAGAGTCTTTTGGCTAAAAGGGTTAATATTAACAATGTTGTCTTAAAGCATTATTCCTGATGGTGTCTATGCTAAGGGTATTGTTGCTATGGGATTTGTTGCTAAGGGCCATTATTAACAAGTCATTGTTGTGATAGGCATATTTTTAAAAGTGTTGGTGCTAAGGGCAATTGTTCTTAAGGATGTTTTTGCCAAGGGCATTAGTGGTAAAAAATTGTTGCGAAAGCCATTTTTTTCTAAGTGGGTTGGTCCTAATGTATCCCACACCATGAAATCACTACCTCACTACTCTTCACCTCTCCCACTCCATACACCATATTTCCTTGTATCAGACACCTGCTGACATCACCAGTATAGGATCTTATTAGAACAAATGAGGCAAGTAGAGCAAAGTGGGCATCTCTCAGGGAACAAGAGTGTCCAGTGCAAAGTATCAGCCCATTCCAACCTTAGGACAGGTGCCAGGCTGATTAGGGGCCTCAGGTTTGAGCTAGTGACCCTGACCCTTTAAGCTCTGAGAACTTAAAGCTGGCTGAGCTCCAACCCTAAATGTTTTGTCCTATGAGTCATTATCTGTGAGCTATTTTTAAAAATATTTTGGACTTCATCTATGTTTTTCCCCTAATGTGTTTCAATTTTGTGGGGACTCTAGTGGAAACAGAGGAAGTCATTTATTGTTCTTAAATCTTAAATGCATCTTTCCAACCTGTCAATGCACATAACTTAATCAGGTCTATGTTCATGCATAAGATAGTTCCATACATGAAGCATCTCACACTTCAATATGCTCTCTATATACAATATTTTTCCACTTAAAATATCCACTAGGTTGAGTGAGGACATCGATAGCCAGATTTTCACATATATTTGAAAAAAAGAGAGGTAAGAAAACTCAAAAATATCTGTAAAAGAAACAAACACATTTGGAGCACGTGCCTTACTACCAATCAAGGTTTTAGAAAGCCAGACTCATCAAGACAGTGGTATAGGCACAGTGAGAGGCAAAGTAGCTCACAGGAAAAGACCAGAGGCCCATAATCATACTTAGCATTTATATCCACATGGTGTCTTACAGAGGAGACACACACATCAGTGAGGAGAGAAAATGTAATTTAGGATTAGCATACTTGGTGATTAACTGGTTTAAAAAAATGTGTAATTGTTAAGTTAAAAATATAAATAACAAATTTTTCAATAGCAAACTCAAATGCTATGAACTTAGGGGTAAATTTCACCAAAGATAAAAAGTATTTTATAGTCCCCTCACTATTGTAAGAAATTTAACCTACCCTGGGAGATGAATACTATGGTTTCACCATTTTAAAGGTGAACTTATTCATAAGAGAAAAAAAATAAAAGCAAATAAATGGAGATTTATACTGCAAATATCAATAGGAAAAGTCAAAATCATAAAAAATATCAATTCCACCCAAATTGTCAATGTTAATTCCAGCCAAAACCTCAACCAGATTTCCTAATGTCCTTCATAAGCTGATGCAAAATTAATATGAAAAAATAAACCTCACACCAAAGAAAACCAAAGACACTCTCATGCAGTAATAACATAAGAGAAATTATCTACTGGACCTTACAATTTATGATGAAAATAAATTAATTAAGATAGCTTTGTATTGGAAAAAATAGAGACAAGCCAATGAAACTGAAGAAACAAAATGGAAACAGATACCTATGAGAAAGTGGAAACAGCAGGGCAATTTAGAAAGATGACTATTTTAAAAGCTGTCATGGCCAGGCGCTGTGGCTCACGCCTGTAATCCCAGCACTTTGAGAGGTGGAGGCGGGCAGATCACTCGGGCGGATCACTTGAGGTCAGGAATTCAAGACCAGCCTGACCAACATGGTGAAACCCCCTCTCTACTAAAAATACAAAAAACTAGCCTGGCGTGGTGGTGGGCGCCTGTAATCCCAGCTACTTGGGAGGCAGAGGCAGGAGAATCGCTTGAACCCGGGAGGCGGAGGTTGCAGTGAGCCAAGATCACACCATTGCACTCCAGCCTGGGTGTCAGAGCGAGACTCCATCTCAAAATAAATAAATAAATAAATAAATAAATAAATAAATAAATAAATAAAATAAAATAAAAGCAGTTAAACCATTCAGATATCCATATTGAAACATTGTGGATCCGTACTTACGCCTTACACTAAATTCATCCCAGTGGGATTAAAAACTTAAATTTGAAACAAAATATGTGAGTCATTTAGTAAAAAGAATAAGAGAATTTTCTTATGAATACTGTCTGAAACAAAACCACAATAGGAAAAGATAATTTAACTCTTCCACATTGAAAAGAAAAAAATCTCTCTTTTTTTTTTTTGAATGGAGTCTTGCTCTGTCACCCAGGCTGGACTGCAGTGGCGCAATCTCGGTTCACTGCAAGCCCAGACCCCGGGTTCACGCCATTCTCCTGCCTCAGCCTCTTGAGTAGCTGGTACTACAGGTGCCTGCCACCGCGCCCGGCTAATTTTTTGTATTTTTATTAGAGAGGGGGTTTCACCGTGTTAGCCACGATGGTCTCGATCTCCTGACCTAGTGATCCGCCCGCCTTGGCCTTCCAAAATGCTGGGATTACAGGCGTGAGCCACCGCGGCCGGCCAGAAAGAAAAAAACATCTTAAAGAAAACCTAACAAAGTGACAACCAATCTTCAGACTGGTAGAAAGTATTTGCAATGTACAGATGCCACAAAAAATACCCAGAAAATATAAGGAATTTCTAGTATCAGGAGTATATTTTATTGATTGCCTTGAATGCTCAATAAGATCAAGAAACATGGAAATTTATAAAACTAAATGAAAATTCATTCTATATTCTTGAATACTATAATTCACTGAATTATGTATATAGTAATATGTAAGATAATATATAACTCATGATTTTAAGCTTTTCCATTTTCTTTTCTTTTTTTTTAAGACGGAGTCTCACTCTGTCGCCCAGGCTGGAGTGCTGTGGCACGATCTCGGCTCACTGCAAGCTCCGCCTCCCGGGTTCACGCCATTCTCCTGCCTCAGCCTCCCCAGTAGCTGGGACTACAGGCACCAGCCACCGCGCCCAGCTAATTTTTTTTATTTTTAGTAGAGACGGGGTTTCACCATATTAGCCAGGATGGTCTGGATCTCCTGACCTCGTGATCCGCCTGCCTTTGTCTCCCAAAGTGCTGGGATTACAGGCGTGAGCCACTGCACCCAGCCTCCATTTTCAAATTGATAGATATATTCAGTGCATTTCCCCTAAAAATTTTCACTGTGTTTTTTGAGTATTTAAACAACTATTAATAATTCTTAACTTCGTACAAAAAAAGTCAAAGGCCGAAGAATTGAAAACAAATCTGTAGAATAAAAATAATAATAATAAGATGTAAGGAACTGCCGTACACCAATCAAAATCCATAATGTTAGCCTTCAAGACAGCATGGGGCAAATCTCCTGATAGATGAAATAGCCCAAAGGAAAAAAAATAGAAGTCCAGTAAATGACTCAGAATTGAGTCGATAGACATTTATGGCAGATGGAGCACTGTACATCAGTGGGGAGACATAAATACATAGGACTGGGGCACTTGCTCTTCCAAATTCTTCATGACTCCCTCTTCATTGAGCCCTGAGGGAAATGGAGAGAGAGAAAAGTAAGTCGGGGACAGGTGAGACCATTCACTCCCAGATGCACCTCTATTTCCACATCTTCAACTTAGCCTCGTTAAGTGATTTTGTAAACAAGCTGAGAATACCAGATGGCTATGGTTCGCTTTGTTTGTGTATCTCCCCAATGCCAATGTGACTGCTTCAATAGACTATGTCACAGATATGTTGCTTGTAATATTTGACATGATGTGAATTTTTATTCAAGTTAAGCAACAGCCATGAGAGACAAGCACAGAGAGCCTATCCATGTGTTTCTGACAAAGGTTCCTTTTTTATTGTTTTATGTTTATCAAGAGATTTCTTTTGACACATGTACTTTTTAAAATTTTTTATTTTGAAATAATTGTAGATTCACATGAAGTTGCAAAAAGAAAAAAAGGTACGCAAAGGTCCCTTATACATTTCACCAAGCGTAGGATTATTGTTGAGAATATGATAAATCGCACATTCAGCCTACATAGATAAATGTTCTGTGGTTCTACTAGATATATGGTTCTACATAGATAAATGTTCCCAGGTCTCTGGGGCTCTCTCTTACAGAGAGGCTAAGCATGCTTTCTAACACAATATGCTAGACATAGCTGCAGTATTAGTCATTCAATTATTAAACTTAATAAAACTTCAAAAAATATTGTATGGCATATGTGTGTATGTCTGTGTGTGTATACACACAGACACACACACACACATATGCAAAAGACTAATACTCTATTGTACCAAATTATGTTTAAAGAATTCAAGAGAAGCAACCCCTGTGTAGACAACAGATGCCCAGATTGTTCGTATGTTTCAAGGATATGTGAAGGAGTTTGACGACTGCTTTCTCATTTGGAGAGAAATTAAGCTGACTCTTGCAGTGACTTATTCTACATTAGTTGGTAGATCTCGGTGATTCAATTGCCTCTTCTGACAATTTTCTTTCTCAGAGAACCCCAATAATCATTTCTCATGTGCTTAACCATCCCCAGGATCTTCCTATATAAAAGCCATTCTCTATCAAATCTTTATACTTAAGGAAAGTTTGAGTACAGAGTACAGTCCAGTGGGGCCAGTGTTTTCCAGCCAGGTCCTATGGCCAAAACTTTCTACAATGGCATCTTAAATGCAATTAGCAGAAGGCTGATACCTCCAGAAGTAACAACCAAGTTGCTCACTTAGAGTTTCAGGAAGTCAGAGTTCATTTGTGGGCAAAGGATGCAGGTTACAGATATTGCTCTTATAGGTTAAGAAAAGGAAAGAAAACCCAGCAAAGTCAACCATCTTTCTGGAAATGTTGAAAAAATGTGAAAAAATTCCATTTTTTTTTTTGAGACGGAGTCTTGCTCTGTTGTATTTTTTTAGTAGAGACGGCATTTCACCATGTTGACCAGAATGGTCTCGATCTCTTGACCTTGTGATCTGGTTGCCTCAGCCTCCCAAAGTTCTGGGATTACAGGCGTGAGCCACCATGCCGGGCTGAAAATTCCATTAAATTTTAACTGTAGAGCTTCTTGCTCACCCCTAGGAGTTAGAAACTTGAGAAGGCAAGCTCATCCAGAGTTGGACAAGTCCCAGCTTTAAATAGAGTCTCAGGGAATGAGGTCAAGTCTTTGCTGGGGGTCTTGTAGATGATACACATGCAGGTCACTATTCTGAGTGGAGAGTTTTCTAGCACCTAGTGTTTGTGACACTCTTGTTGGAAACAAGTTGGAAAAAAGAGATCTCTGTAAAATTTGAGGGAGCTAAGTCTAAATCTGACTCATAAACCCATCAGAAGCAGCTACCTTGTGAATTTAAACAGCTCTGGGAGAAATTGTGTGAATGGAAAAATAATTCCAAGTTGTTGAGTCTAAGATCACTGTCTTGAGTCCTGGGTTAGATATAGACATACAAGGTAAATGATGTAGAAAGAGAAACTCTAAGCTGGTCATGGTGGTTCACGCCTGTAATCCCAGCACTTTGGGAGGCCAAGGCGGGTGGATCACCTGATCGTCAGGAGTTCAAGACCAGCCTGACCAATATGGTGAAACCCCGTCTCTATTAAAATTACAAAAATTAGCTGGGCGTGGTGGCGGCCACTTGTAGTCCCAGCTACTCAGGAGGCTGAGGCAGGAGAATCGCTTGAACCCGGGAGGCGAAGGTTGCAGCGAGCCGAGATCATGCCACTGCACTCCAGCCCGGGCAACAGAGCAAGACTCCGTCTAAAAAAAAAAAAAAAGAAAGAAAAGAAAAAGAAAAAGCAACTCTAAACTCTTAATATCTGAGTTAGCTCAATTCTTCAAGGTTCAGGAAGATTTAAAGAATCACTTTTACTTTAAGGGTTAAAATAAAAAGATTCCTGAAGAGTTTTGTCATAATCCCATTAGTTACCTGCATAGTTTCCTAGCTTAAGACCTGGGGGAAAAATTGACTCAAATCTAAACTATCTTTAGATTCGGAGCATTAAAGAAGCTGCATCCTGGAAGAAACATTCCAGACACAGTTGGACAAATAATTCAATAGCTGTCTACAAGGCTGTCTATACATTTTAGGGAATCCTTCAGTGCTTAAGAGACAAATCTCACTTATTCCTCAGTCCCTTAACAGCTTTAAGAAGAATTCTCAATTTCCCCGTGCCTGCAATGGCTCTGTGTGGTAGCACAGGTAATGCCTAGGAGGAGAAGCTTGGAAAATTGTAAGACCTGGGGGTTATAAGCTTCATAATTTGTTCAGACATCCCATGATATTTTCCTGCTGCTCCGATCAAGGTTAGTGTTCAGGGTCGGACTGCAGGATCATTTCTGAGATCAAAAGGCAAAGCAAGGGAAGGGCAATGCAGTTGCAATTTGTGCAAGAAGTTAAAAAGAGAAATTTATTCTCAAGCAAAATGATTTTTCATTTATTCATTTTTACTGAGTTTAAACAGATGTTTGGGCAAGTTTAGCTACCACAGCTGTGATTGTCACACCCCTCTGTCTCTGTCTGAGGCCCTGGAAAAGAAAGTAACAGAGTGGGTTTAACATGTATTGCCAATTTCTCATTCCTAAGAGAAGTGAGGTATAATTGGCATACAATTAACTGCACATATTTAAGGTGTACAGTGTGATAGTATTTGACACGTGTAAAACACAGGAAACTATCATTAAAAGTCAAGAATTAATATCTGTCACCCCAAAATGTTCCTGTTGCCCTTTGGCAAGCCTTCTCTTCCACTCCTCTCTATCAAACCAGGGTAGAAGGGTCTTACATGTTTTGTTGCTCAAATTTATCCCTAAGTATTTGATATTTTGCTGCTATTGTAAATCTCCTGGCTATTTTTTTTTTTTTTTGTACTTTTAGTAGAGATGGGGTTTCACCGTGTTAGCCAGGATGGTCTCCATCTCCTGACCTCGTGATCTGTCCGCCTTGGCCTCCCAAAGTGCTGGGATTACAGGTATGAGCCACCGTGTATGGCCTATAAATCATAATTTTAAAATACAATTTCTGATTGTTCATTGCTAGTATAAGGAAGAAACTTTGTATAGTCATATTCTATCCTTCAACTTTGCTTAACTAATTTGTTAGTACTAGTAGCTTTATCAGCTTATTAGTTAATAATAATTAGTAGCATATTAATTTCTGATAGTTTTTGTGTAGATTCCACAAAACTTCCTGTCATGTTACCTGAGAAACAGAAACAATTTTACTTTTTTTCCAATTCACCTGTGTGTTTTTCTCTTTTCTTTTGGCTTTATTGCCTCAATTACAATGTTGAATAGAAGTGGTAAGAGCTGACATTCTCATCTCATTCCTGATCTCAGGAGGAAAGCATTCAGTCTTTCAACATTAAGCGTGACATTACCTGTAGGTTTTTTGTAAATTACCTTAATCAGGTTGAAGAAGTTTCCTGCTAGTGCCAGTTTGCTGAGAGTTATTTTCTTCTGATTATACTGAGATAAGATCTTTTCTTTTTTAATTTCTCAATTTGGTGAACTACAGTGCTTGATTTTTAAAATTTTTATTTTATTGTGGTAAGAATATAACATGAGATCTACTCTCTTATGAGATTTTTCAGTATACAATAAAATATGGTTAACTATAGGCACAGTATTATACAGCAGATCTCTAAAGCTAATTCATCTTGCATTAATGAAATTTTATACCCATTGATAAGCAACTCCTCACTTCCCTTTCACTCCCGTCCTGGCAACCACCATTCCACTCTTTGATTCTATGAATTGTACTGTTAATATTTTCACTATCTAAGATAAGCAAATTATACGGGATTTGTCTTTCTGTGATTGGCTTATTTCACTTGGAATAATATCCTCAAGGTTTATTCATGTTGTACATATTGCAGAATTTCTTTTTTAATGCTGAATAGTATTTCCATTGTATGTCTATACCACATTTGCTTTATGAATTTATCTGTTAATGGACATTAATGTTGTTTCTACATCTGAGCTATTACGAATAGTGTTGCAATGAACATAGGAATGGTAATATTACTTCAAGATCCTGATTTCAATTCTTTTGGATAAATACCCAGAAGTGGGATTATTGGAGCAATATAATGGCTCTGTTTTTAACTTTTTGAAGAACGTTCATACTTTTTTCCCATAGTAAATGCACTATCGTGTATTCCCACAAACAATGTACAAGGGTTCCCTTTCTCCACATCCCTTCCAACACTTGTCTTTTTTTAAAATAATCATCATCCTGACAGGTGTGAGGAAATATTTCATTGTGGTTTTGATTTACATTTTTCTGATGATTAGTAACACTGAGCATCTTTTCATATACCTGTGGGTATTTCTCTTCTTTGGAAAAATGTCTATTCAAGTCCTTTGCTCATTTAAAAAATCAGATTGTTAGTTTTATCTACTGAGTTGTTTGAGTTCCTAACGTATTTTGGAAATTAATCTTTTTCCCAGTGTTTTCTTATAGAAGCTTTACAGTCTCACCTTGCATTTAAGTTTTTAATCCATTTTGATTTAATTTTTGTGCATGGTATAAGACAAGGATCCAGTTCTACTCTTGCATGGAGATATCCAGTTTTCCCAGCAGCATTTGTTGAAGAGACTGTCCTTTCCTGATTGTGCATTCTTGGCACCCATGTCAAAGATCAATTGACTGTATATACACAGATCTATTTCTTGGCTCCCTATTCTAACCCATTGGTCTTATATGTCTATCTTTATGCTGTTAACATACTATTTTAATTACTATAGCTTTGCAATATATTTTGAAATTAGGAAGTGATGCCTCTAGCCTTGCTCTTTCTTCTCAAGATTGTTTTGGCTATTCAGGGTACTTTCCAATTATATATGAATCTTAGAATTGTTTTTTCTCTGTCTGTAAAAATGCTATTAGGATTTTTATGGAGATTGAATTGAATTTGTAGATTGCTTTGAGTAGTGTAGATATTAAGACTTCCAATCTATGAACACAGTATGTCTTTCCATTTACTTGTGTCCTTTTAAATTTCTTAAATTAATGTTTTGCAGTTTGCAGTGTGTCTTTTACCTCCTTGGCTAAGTTTATTCCTAAGTATTTGATTATTTTTGATAGTGTTGTAAATGGGATTGGTTTCCTAATTTTCTTTCAGAGAGTTTATTTTTGGTGTATAGAAATGCAATTGATTTTTACATATTGTTTTTTATCATACTACTTTGCTGAATTGACTTATTAATTCTAACAGTTTTTTGTGGAGTCTTTAGAGTTTTCTGTATATTAGATCATGTTTAAACAGGTACAATTTCACTTCTTCCTTCTGAACTTGATGTATTTTTTGTATTGATCTTGAATAATCATTCTGGGCAGGACTTTCATTACTATGTTGAATAGAAGTGGTAAAAGTGAACATCCCTGTCTTTTTCCTGATATTAGAGGAAAAGCTTTTAGTTTTTTACTTCTGAGTGTGGTGTTAGCTGTGGGATTTTCATATCTGGCCTCAATATGTTGAGGTAACTTCCATCTCTTCCTAGTTTGTTGAGAGTTTCTAACATGAAAAAGTGTCAAATTTTATCAAATTATTATTTTTAAATCTATTGAGATGATTTTGTGATTTTTATCTTTTATTCTATTAACTGTATCACATTAATTGATTTTCATATGTTGAACCATCCCTGCAACTCAGGGATAAATCCCACTTGGTCATGGTGTATGATCCTATTAATTTGCTGTTAAATTTGGTTTGCAATTATTTTGTTGAGGATCCTTGCATCTATATTAATCAGGGACATAGACCTGTAGTTTTCTTTTTGTAGTGTCTTTTATCTGTCTTTAAATTCACATAATGCTGGCCTCGTGAAATGAGTTTGGAAATATTCTCTCCTTTTTGATTTTTTGGGAAGAGTTTTAAAATGATTGGTATTAATTCTTCTTTAAATATTTGGTAGACTTCAGCAGCAGAGTCATCAGGTCGGAGGCTTTGCTTTGTTGGGAGTTTTTTTTATTACTGATTCGATCTCCTTATTCACTGTTTGCCTGTTTAAATTTCCTATTTCTTTCATGATGCACTCTTGGTAGGTTGTATGTTTCTAGGAATTTATCCATTTCTTCTAGGTTATCGAGTTTATTGGTGTATTTTTTCTCACAGCAGTTTCTTATGATCTTTGGATTTCTGTGACGTCAGTTGCAATGTCTTTTTCATTTCTGTTTTTGTCTTCCTTCTTCTTAGTACACTGTTTGATTTTTAAATGTTAAAACAATTTCACATTCTTAGGATAAGCCCCCTTGGTCCTTGTGTGTTATTCTGTTTACATAATGCTGTAATTTATTTGCTAAAATTGCATTTTTTCAACTAATGTCATGAGAGATATCGTCTCTAGTTTACTTTTCTTGTAATGTCTTTGACATTTATATCAGGGTAATGCTAATTTCATAGAATGAGGTAGGAAATAATTACCTTCTCAAAAATTTTCTATGAAGAGTTCATGTAAAATTAGTATTACTTCTTAAATATTTGATATAATTCACTAGTGAAGCCACCTGGGCCTGGCATTTTCTTTATGTGAAGGTTTTGTAACTACAAATTGTATTTCTCTAACAGATGTAGGGCTATTCAGATTATGTATTTCTTCTTGAGTGAGATATGGTAGTTTGTGTATTTCAAGGAGTTCATCTATTTTATGACAATTGTGGAAATCATTGACATGAAGTTATATATAATATTTTGTTATGATTCTTTTAACATCTAAAACCTAAAATCATGTCACCTTTCTCTTTCCTGCTACTGGCATTTTTTTCTTCTAATGCCTGATTAATCTGGCTAGATTTATCAGCTTTCTGTTGATTTCTGTTAACATGGTATGTATTTTTTAACCTATTTGTTTTTTTATATATAAAGTGTATTTCTTGTAAGCAGCATAGAATCGGGTCTTCCTAAAAAATTTATATGACAATTCCTGACTTTTAATTGAGGTGTTTAAACCATTTACATTTAATATGATTATTTATATAGTTAGGTTTGAGTCGATAATTTTGATTTTTGTTCTTTTTTCTTCTTTTCTTCCATTTGGATCAAACATTTTTATTACATTTCATCTTCCTTTCTGGTTCATTAACTATGTAAATCAAAAGTAAAATTCTAAGCCCATCAACCAATTGAATGGACCCCTCTTCTCAAACAAGGGCATTCCTAAGTTAACCTGGAAAATCAGTTCAGGCCATGATGGGTAGTAGAGGTCAGACATGCCACACTATACTCACGTTCCTTTGGAATTCAGGCACAGCTGACCAGCATTTAACATTAAAACAGAGACCTTACGACTGATGAAACAGACTCTTGGTAGCCATTAAGATACCAACATGACAGACAGCAAGCCCTAAAAGAAATAAAAATATTTTACCTCAAAAGATATTTCTTTTCTCTCCTTCTTCTTCTTT
This sequence comes from Homo sapiens, assembly GCF_000001405.40. Taxonomy (NCBI): domain Eukaryota; kingdom Metazoa; phylum Chordata; class Mammalia; order Primates; family Hominidae; genus Homo; species Homo sapiens. Next base: position 60,982,712 of record NC_000009.12, read on the forward strand.
TTCTTTGAGATGGAGTCTCCCTCTGTTGCCCAGGCTGGAGTGCAGTGGCATGATCTTGGCTCAGTCACCACAACCTCCGTCTCCCAGGTTCAAGCAATTCTCCTGCCTTAGCCTCTTGAATAGCTGGGATTACAGGTGCCCACCACCATTCCTGGCTTATTTTTTTGTATTTTTTGTAGAGACGTGGTTTTGCCATGTTGGCCAGGTTGGTCTCAAACTCCTGACCTCAAGTGATCTACCTGCTTCAGCCTCCCAAAGTGCTAGGATTATAGGCATGAGCTAACGTGCCTGGCTATATTTCTTAAACATATTTTGAAATGGCCCTGCAAAGCTGTCTCTTGTGGGAAAATCTACCTTCTATAGAAAATCTCCTTTTATTTCCAGGTCTTCTTCCTGATCCGGGAGAGAATTAACTGAGTTTGGTACCTTTTTAAGTCTGATAAAAAACATTTACAATCTGTTCTTTCTGAAGCCTGCTACCTGGAGGCTTTATCTGCATAATAAAAACCTTGGTCTCCACAACCCCTTATTTTAACCCTTCTATTAATTCCAGGGCTTTAGATAAAAGCTTTCAACCAATTGCCAATCAGGAAATCTTTTAATCCACTTATGACTTGCAGGCCACAACCCCCCCACTGCCCCTTCCTCCCCCTTCACATTGCTCCATGTGATGGTTAATATTGAGTGTCAACTTGATTGGAATGAAGGGTGCGAAGTGTTGTTCCTGGATGTATCTGTGAGGATGTTGCCAAAGAAGACTGACATTTGAATCAGTGGACTAGAAGAGGCAGACCCACCCTCAATCTGGGTGGGCACCATCTAATCAGCTGCCAGCACAGCTAAAATAAAGCAGGCAGGAGAATGTGGAAGGACTAGACTGGCTGAGTGTTCTGGCCTTCATCTTTCTCCCATGCTGTATGCTTCCTGGCTTTGAACACTGGACTCCAAGTTCTTCGGCTTTTGGACTTTTGGACTTACACCAGTGGTTTGCCAGGGGCTCTTGGGCCTTCAGCCACAGACTGAAGGCTGCACTGTCGGCTTCCCTATTTTTGAGATTTGGGAACTCAGACTGGCTTCCTTGCTCCTCAGCTTGCAGATGGCCTATTTTGGGACTTCACCTTGTGACAGTATATACTCCTTAATAAACTCCCTTTCACATATAAATTTATCCTATTAGTCCTGTCCCACTAGAGAACCCTAATACACCCCACCTTTCCAGACCTAACCAGTGTATGTCTTACATGTACTGATTCATGTCTTATACCTCCATAAAACATGGAAATTCAAGCTGTAGCCAGACCACCTTGGGCAAATGTTCTCAGGACCTCCTAAGGCTATGTCATGGGTATGTCCTTAACCTTGGCTAAATAAACTTCTGAATTGATTGAGACTTGTCTCTGGTATTTTTTGGCTTAAAATTATAATTCTTTATTTTGCTAATTTTGTGTTTGCTGTGGGGTAATAGTATATGTCTTAAACTTATCACAATCTAGCTTCAAGTGAATTATACCATTTCACATATACTATTCAAACCTTACAATAGTATACTTGCATTTCTCCCCTCTCAGTCTTTATGCTTTTTTGTCATATACTTTATTTGTATATACATATGTTGCAATAACAACACATTGTTATCATTCAGTTTAACCAATTATCTTTAAAAGAAATTTACATGAGGGGAGGTTCCAAGATGGCCAAATAGGAAGAGCTCCAGTCTACAGCTCCCAGCGTGAGTGACGCAGAAGATGAGTGATTTCTGCATTTCCATCTGAGGTACCAGGTTCATCTCACTGGGGCTTGTTGGCAGTGGGTGCAGCCCATGGAGCATGAGCCAAAGCAGGGCGGGTCATTGCCTCATCCGGGAAGCAGAAGGGGCCGGGGAATTCCCTTTCCTAGCCAAGGGTAGCCCTGACAGACAGTACCTGGAAAATCAGGACACTCCAACCCTAATACTGTGCTTTTCCAATGGCCTTAGCAAATGGCACAGCAGGAGATTATATCCTGTGCCTGGCTTGGAGGGTCCCATGCCCACGGAGCCTTGCTCGCTGCTAGCACAGCAGTGTGAGATCAAACTGCAAGGTGGCAGCAAGGCTGGGGGAGGGGTGTCTGCCATTGCTGAGGCTTGAGTACATAAACAAAGTGGCCAGGAAGCTCGAACTGGGTGGAGCCCACCACAGATCAAGGAGGCCTGCCTGCCTCTGTAGACTGCACCTCTAGGGGCAGAGCATAGCTGAACAAAAGGCAGCAGAAACTTCTGCAGACTTAAATGTCCCTGTCCGACAGCTTTGAAGAGAGTAGTGGTTCTCCCAGTATGAAGCTGGAGATCTGAGAATGGACAGACTGCCTCCTCAAGTGGGTCCCTGACCCACGAGTAGCCTAACTGGGAGACACCTCCCAGTAGGGGCCGACTGACACCTCATACAGCCTAGTACCCCTCTGAGACGAAGCTTCCAGAGGAAGGATCAGGCAGCAACATTTGCCATTCTGCAATCGATTAGCAATAACAAACTTCTCCGAGCTAAAGGAGGATATTCAAACCCATCTGAAAGAAGCTAAAAACCTTGAAAAAAGATGAGATGAATGGCTAACTAGAATAAACAGCATAGAGAAGACCTTCAATGACCAGATGGAGCTGAAAACCATGACATGAGAACTATGTGATGCATGCACAAGCTTCAGTAGCTGACTCAATCAAGTGAAAGAAAGGGTATCAGTGATTGAAGATCAAATGAATGAAATGAAGTGAGAAGAGAAGTTTAGAGAAAAAAGAGTAAAAAGAAATGAACAAAGCCTCCAAATAATATGGGACTATGTGAAAAGACCAAATCTACATCTGATTGGTGTACCTGAAAGTGACGGGGAGAATGGAACCAAGTTGGAAAACACTCTGCAGGATATTATCCAGGAGAACTTCCCCAACCTAGCAAGGCAGGCCAATATGCAAATTCAGGAAATACAGAGAATGCCACAAAGATAGTCCTCGAGAAGAGCAACTCCAAGACACATAATTGTCAGATTCACCAAAGTTGAAATGAAGGAAAAAATGTGAAGGGCAACCAGAGAGAAAGGTCGGGTTATGCAAAAAGGGAAGCCCATCAGACTAACAGCGGATCTCTCAGCAGAAACTCTACAAGGCAGAAGAGAATGGGGGCCAATATTCAACATTCTTAAAGAAAAGAATTTTCAACCCAGAATTTCATGTCCAGCCAAACTAAGCTTCATAACTGAAGGAGAAATAAAATCCTTTACAGACAGACAAATGCTGAGAGATTTTGACACCACCAGGTATGCCTTACAAGAGCTCCTGAAAGAAGCACTAAACATGGAAAGGAACAACCGGTATCAGCCACTGCAAAAACATGCCAAATTGTAAAGACCATCGAGGCTAGGAAGAAACTGCATCAACTAATGAGCAAAATAACCAGCTAACATCATAATGACATGATCAAATTCACACATAACAATATTAACCTTAAATGTAAATGGGCTAAATGCTCCAATTAAAAGACACAGAGTGGCAAATTGGATAAAGAGTCAAGACCCATCAGTGTGCTGTATTCAGGAGACCCATCTCACGTGCAGAGACACACATAGGCTCAAAATAAAAGGATGGAGGAAGATCTACCAAGCAAATGGAAAACAAAAAAAAGCAGGGGTTGCAATCCTAGTCGCTGATAAAACAGATTTTAAATCAACAAAGATCAAAAGAGACAGAGAAGGCCATTACATAATGTAATGGGATCAATTCAACAAGAAGAACTAATTAACCCAAATATATATGCACCCAATACAGGAGCACCCAGATTCATAAAGCAAGTCCTTAGAGACCTACAAAGAGACTTAGACTCCCACACAATAATAATGGGACACTTTAACACCCCACTGTCAACAAGACAGAAAGTTAACAAGGATATCCAGGAATTGACAGAAACTTTCTGTCAACGAGACAGAAAGTTAATAAGGATATCCAGGAATTGAACTCAGCTCTGCACCAAGCAGACATAATAGACATCTACAGAACTCTCCACCCCAAATCAATAGAATATACATTCTTCTCAGCACCACATCACACTTATTACAAAATTGACCACATACTTGGAAGTGAAGCACTCCTCAGCAAATGTAAAAGAACAGAAGTTATAACAAACTGTCTCTCAGACCATAGTGCAATCAAACTAGAACTCAGGATTAAGAAACTCAGTCAAAACTGCTCAACTACATGGAAACTGAACAACCTGCTCCTGAATGACTACTGGGTACATAACAAAATGAAGGCAGAAATAAAGATGTTCTTTGAAACCAGTGAGAACAAAGATACAACATACCAGAATCTCTGGGACACATTTAAAGCAGTGTGTAGAGGGAAATTTATAGCACTAAGTGCCCACAAGAGAAAGCAGTAAAGATCTAAAATTGATACCCTAACACCACAATTAAAAAAACTAGAGAAGCAACAACAAACACATTCAAAAGCTAGCAGAAGGCAAGAAATAACTAAGATCAGAGCAGAACTGAAGGAAATAGAGACACAAAAAACCCTTCAAAAAATCAATGAATCCAAGAGCTGGTTTTTTGAAAAGATTAACAAAATAGACCGCTAGCAAGACTAATAAGGAAGAAAAGAGAGAAGAATCCAATAGATGCAATAAAAAATGATAAAGGGGATATCACCACTGATCCCACAGAAATACAAACTACCATCAGAGAATACTATAAACACCTCTATGCAAATAAATTAGAAAATCTAGAAGAAATGGATAAATTCCTGGACACATACACCCTCCCAAGACTAAACCAGGAAGAAGTTGGATCCCTGAATAGACCAATAACAGGCTCTGAAATTGAGGCAATAATTAATAGCCTACCAACCAAAAAAAGTCCAGGACCAGATGGATTCACAGCCAAATTCTACCAGAGGTACAAAGAGGAGCTGGTACCATTCCTTCAGAAACTATTCTAATCAATAGAAAAAGAGGGAATCCTCTCTAACTCATTTTATGAGGCCAGCATCATCCTGACACCAAAGCCTCGCAGAGACGTAACAAAAAAAGAGAATTTTAGACCAATATCCCTGATGAACATCGATGCAAAAATCCTCAATAAAATACTGGCAAACCAAATCCAGCAGCACATCAAAAAGCTTATCCACCATGATTAAGTGGGCTTCAACCCTGGGATGCAAGGCTGGTTCAACATATACAAATCAATAAATTTAATTCATCATATAAACAGAACCAAAGACAAAAACCACATGATTATCTCAATAGATGCAGAAAAGGCCTTCGACAAAATTCAACAGCCCTTCATGCTAAAAACTCTCAGTAAACTAGGATTGATGGGATGTATCTCAAAATAATAAGAGCCATTTATGACAAACACACAGCCAATATCATACTGAATGGGCAAAAACTGGCACAAGACAGGGATGCCCTCTCTCACCATTCCTATTCAACATAGTGTTGGAAGTTCTGGCCAGGGCAATCAGGCAGGAGAAAGAAATAAATGGTATTCAATTAGGAAAAGAGGAAGTCCAGTTTTCTCTGTTTGCAGATGACATGATTGTATATTTAGAATACCCCATGGTCTCAGCCCAAAATCTCCTTAAGCTGATAAGCAACTTCAGCAAAGTCTCAGGATACAAAATCAATGTCCAAAAATCACAAGCATTCCTATACACCAATAACAGACAAACAGAGAACCAAATCATGAGTGAACTCCCATTCACAATTGCTTCAAAGAGAATAGAATACCTAGGAATCCAACTTACAAGAGATGTGAAGGACCTCTTCAAGGAGAACTACAAACCACTGTTCAACAAAATAAAAGAGGACACAAACAAATGGAAGAACATTCCATGCTCATGGGTAGGAATAATCAATATCGTGAAAATGGCCATAGTGCCCAAGGTAATTTATAGATTCAATGCCTTCCCCATCAAGCTACCAATGACTTTCTTCACAGAATTGGAAAAAACTACTTTAAAGTTCATATGGAACCAAAAAAGAGCCTGCATTGCCAAGACAATCCTAAGCCAAAAGAACAAAGCTGGAGGCATCACACCACCTGACTTCAAACTATACTACAAGGCAACGGTAACCAAAACAGCATGGTACTGGTACCAAAACAGAGATAGAGACCAATGGAACAGAGCAGAGCCCTCAGAAATAATACCACACATCTACAACAATCTGATCTTTGACAAATCTGACAAAAACAAGAAATGGGGAAAGGATTCCCTATTTAATAAATGGTACTGGGAAAACTGGCTAGCCATATGTAGAAAGCTGAAACTAGATCCCTTTCTTACACCTTATACAAAAATTAATTCAAGATGGATTAAAGACTTAAATGTTAGACCTAAAACCATAAAAACCCTAGAGGAAAACCTAGGCAATACCATTCAGGCCATAGACATGGGCAAGGACTTCATGACTAAAATACCAAAAGCAATGGCAACAAAAGCCAAAATTGACAAATGGGATCTAATTAAACTACAGAGCTTCTGCACAGCAAAAGAAACTACCATCAGAATGAACAGGCAACCTACAGAATGGGAGAAAATTTTTACAATCTACTCATCTGACAAAGGGCTAACATCCAGAATCTACAAAGAACTTAAACAAATTTACAAGAAAGAATCAAACAACCTCATCAAAAAGTGGGCAAAGGATATGAACAGACACTTCTCAAATAAGACTTTTATGCAGCCAACAGACACATGAAAAAATGCTCATCATCACTGGCCATCAGAGAAATGCAAATCAAAACCACAATGAGACACCATCTCACACCAGTTAGAATGGCAATCATTAAAAAGTCAGGACACAACAGGTGCTGGAAAGGATGTGGAGAAATAGGAACACTTTTACACTGTGGGTGGGACTGTAAACTAGTTCAACCATTGTGGAAGACAGTGTGGCGATTCCTCAAGGATCTAGAACTAGAAATACCATTTGACCCAGCCATCCCATTACTCGGTATATACCCAAAGGATTATAAATCATGCTGCTATGAAGACACATGCACACGTATGTTTATTGTGGCACTATTCACAATAGCAAAGACTTGGAACCAACCCAAATGTCCAAAAATGATAGACTGGATTAAGAAAATGTGGCACATACACACCATGGAATACTATGCAGCCATAAAAAAGGATCAGTTCATGTCCTTTGTAGGGACATGGATGCAGCTGGAAACCATCATTCTGAGCAAACTATCGCAAGGAAAGAAAACCAAACACCGCATGTTCTCACTCATAGGTGGGAGTTGAACAATGAGAACACTTGGACACAGGCCCCCATCACACACTGGGGCCTGTTGTGGGGTGGGGGGAGAGGGGAGGGATAGCATTAGGAGATATACCTAATGTAAATGACAAGTTAATGGGTGCAGCACACCAACATGGCACATGTATACATATGTGAAGAAACCTGCATGTTGTGCACGTGTACCCCAGAACTGAAACTATAATTTAAAAATAATAGTAATAATAAAAAAGAAATTTACATAATAAGAAACAAATATTTACTCATGTAGCTATAATTTCTGATGCTTTTCATTCCTTTGAATAGAGGTAGATTTCACTGGGTATCATTTCCTTCTGCCTGAAGAATTTCCATTAACATTTCTTTGTGATATGGTTCTGCTACTGATTTCTTTTAGCTTTTGCATGTCTGAAAAGCTCTTTATTTTGCCTTCATTTGTGAAAATCTGATTTCCCTGAGTACAAATACTATAGAACTATTTCAGTACTTTTATTTTCTTTCCGTATTATAGAAAAGCTATACTTGTTTTCTTGATTGCATTTCTTTCAATGAGGAATATGCTTTCATTCTTATCTCATTCTTTGTTAGTTTGTATCTCATGTGCTCCACATCTGGATGCATTTAACGCTGTCCATCAGTAGTCTTAAACAATCTGACTGTAATGTGCCTGGTAATTTTTTCATGTTTGAGTTTATTGAGATTTTTGGAATTGTGAATTTGTAGTTACCATGAAATTTGTAAATATTCAGTCATTGTGTACTCAAATATTCGTTGTTGTTGTTTTTGTTTGTTTGTTTTTTGAGACTGAGTCTCGCTGTATTGCCCAGGCTGGAGTTGAATTAGCACAATCTCGGCTCACTGCAATCTCCACCTCACAGGTTCAAGCAATTCTTATGCCTCAGCCTCCCAAGTAGCTGGTATTACAGGCACCCACTACTACGCCCAGCTAATTTTTGTATTTTTATTAGAGACAGGGTTTCACCATGTTGGCCAGGCTGGTCTTGAACTCCTGACCTCAAATGATCCGCCCACCTCAGCCTCCCAAAGTGCTGGGATTACAGGTGTGAGCCACTGCACCTGGCCCTCATTTTTATTATTCTCCTCTTTACTACTTTTTGGGAACTCCAATCTTACATATATTATTAAGCTGCTTGCAGTTTATCTAGCTTACAGATTCCCTCTTCATCATTTTCGGTCTTTTAAATCTGTGTGTGACATGTTGTATAGTTTCAGTTGCTATGATTTTTATTCATGAATCTTTTCCTTTGCAATGTTTAATCTGCTGTTAATCTAATCCAATGAATTTTTATATCAGATATTGTATTTTTACCTTTAGAAGTTTTATTTTAGTGTTTGTATCTTCCATGTCTCTCCTTAATGTATATAGCTTTTCATCTACCTTCTTAAGCAAATGGAGTACAGTTACAATGGTATTTTTAAACCATTCATAATTGAAGTGATTATTCATATAGGTGGAGTGATATCTACTATGTTTGTCATTGTTTTCTGCTCATTGAATTTGCTGTTTGTTATTTCCTACTCTTTTTCTGTCTTCTTTTTAATTGATCATTTTATATGATTCCATTTTATTTCCTTTCTTAGAATAGTAATTATACTTCTCTTAAAAAGGTTTTTAATGGTTGCTCTACAGTTTACAATATACGATTCTGTACTCTCAGTCCACTTTCAGATGTCATTATATTACTTTGTGTACAGTATAGGTACCTCATACAGAATACTCTCAACTTCTCTCTCATGTCCCTTGTAATACTGCTATCATTAATTGCACTTATTCATATTTGATAATCATGCAATACATTGTAATACTATTATTTTTAAATGTTACACTTTACATAGATTAAGATAAGAAAAATAAAAGATTTAATTTTAATACCATTTATTCCCCCTCCAATGCATTGCTAGGCATTCTTCATTTCTGTTACTATATTTTTATTTCTAGAGTTTTCTTTCTTATTGTGGTAAAATATGCATAACATAAAATTTATCTTTTTGACGATTTTTAAATATTCAATTCAGTGGCATTAAGTATATACACATTATTGTGCATTTATCATAACTATCCACCTTCAGAACTTCCGTGTCATCCCAAAACTGCGCATTAAACAATAACTCCGCATTCCTCCAACCCTTTCCCCAGGACTTGGTAACCACTCTTCTACTTTTTGTCTCTGAATTTGACTATTCTTGTATCTCATGTAAGTGTAATCATACAATATCTCTCCTTTTATGTCTCATTTATTTCACTTAGCATAATGTTTTCAAGGTTCATTTATGTTGTGGGCCGAATTGTGTATCTCTAAAATTCACAGGTTGAAGTCCTGACCCCCAGTACCTCATAATGTGATATTTGAAGAAAGAACGTTTAAAGAAGTAATCAAGGTAAAATGAGGTCATAGAGATGGATATGAAGCTAATATGAGTGGTGTCATATTGAAGAGATTAGGACACAGACACACACAAAGGAAAGACCATGTGAAGACAGAGGGAAAAGACAAATACCAATAAACCTTGGAGAGTCCAGGCACGGTCTGTAATTCTAGCACTTTGAGAGGCCGAGGCAGGTGGATCATGAGGTCAGGAGATGGAGACCATCCTGGCTAACACGGTGAAACCCCGTCTCTACTAAAAAAATACAAAAAAATTAGCCTGGGCGTGGTGGTGGGCACCTGCAGTCCCAGTACTCGGGAGACTGAGGCAGGAAAATGGTGTGAACCTGGGAGGCAGAGCTTGCAGTGAGCTGAGATCGTGCTTGGGTGACAGAGCGAGACCCCGTCTCAGAAAAACAAAACGAAAACAAAACAAACAATCAGAAAAAACCTTGGAGAGAGGCCTCAGAAGAAACAACCTTGTTGACACACATGATTTTGGATTTGCAGCTCCAGACTGTGGTAAAATAAATTTCAGTTGTTTAAGCTTCACAATCTGTGGTACTTTGTGATGGCAGCCATATCAAGATAATTCTTTTTAAGGCTGAATGATATTCTATTGAATGTTTATCCATTTATTCATTGATGGTCATTTGCATGGTTTTCATCTTTTGGCTATTGTGAATAATGCTATTACAAATATTGGTGTACACACATCTGTTGAGTCTCTGCTTTCAATTCCTTTGGATATATATCTGGAGGTAGAATTGGTGAATCATATGATATTCTATGTTTAATTTTTGAGGAACCACCATACTGTCTTTTGTGGCAGCTGCACTATCCATTTTTCCATTCTCATAAAAAATGTGCCATCAATTTTTTCATATCCTTGCCAACATGTATGATTGTGTGTGTGCATGTGCACATGTATATTGGCCATCCTAGTGGGTATGATGTGGTTTTCATTGTGGCTTTGATTTGCATTTTCTTAATGATCCTTTTATGTTCTTACAGGTCATTTGCATATCTTCTTTGGAGAAATGTCTATTCAAGTCCTTTGCTCACTTTTAAGTTGGATATTTAAGAGTTTTTTCTTGCTGTTGAGTTGTATGAGTTTTTTATATATTCTGATATTAATCCTAACCCAATTTTAGTATTTCTTTTATTTTTCCTTTCTTAGAGTTTCCATCTCTTTTTTTATATCACCTATCTGTTCTTGCATGTGGTCTACTTTTTCCATTAGAGTCCTTAATATATTAATCACAATTAGTTTACATTTTCTGTCTGGAAAATTCCAATAGTTGTATCATACTTCAGTCTGCTTCTGATAGTGTTTTGTTGTGACTTTTTTCTTGTCATTTGTCATGCCTTGTAATTTTTTTCTTGTCTGTATTGGGTAATATGGACTGAGGTAAATAGACCTGCAACGTGGGGATTTATAGCTAGGAATTAAGCTATGTTTAGTATTTTCTCTACCTATACATCTAAAATGCTGCAAATTTCTCTGCTGCCCACCTTTTTGTCTCCTCTTGACTTTGGGCTTCCCAAGTTACTGCTCTCCAGAGAGAGTCTGTTTCTTGGAACTCTTTTGGCTATAATTCACTATGTAATGCTGTGGGATTCTGTTGGGATAGAGGTGTGGTCTAGGGGAGAGAGAGTGCTCTGTAATCTTCCATTTAAATCTCAGCTTTTTATGTGGCTATGTCCAGGACTGTGAACTTTACAAGTATTTCTGACTCTTCTCCAATGGTGTATAGCTTTTCTTATCCCCAGCCCTCAATCCTTTCCCAGGTTACAGAATCTTCAATCTATTTTTTTTGAAGCTCTGAATTCTGTTTTTCCTCCTTAGTGATACAAGAAGGCTGAAATTGGCTGGAGTGGGAAGAATTTCATTCCACCAACCAGGATAAGGCTCTTACAAAATATTTTCTCCTGGTGAGTGTGCTTTTTTTGGAGAAGTTTCTAAGTGTATTTTATAGTGATTCCTCTTCCCCTTTCCAACTATAACCATGAGGGATCTTTCTTAAATCTCCACCCTGAGCCCTGTTGGAGTTCCTAAAGGTAAAACCTATTAAAGTGTTAGAGCCACCCTAAAACTGGGGCCCTTAGAACTAAGAAGTTTCTCCTACTCAAAGTAATTGAAGCAGGCCCCCTTCACAGGCAGGAAATGGAGTGCACAGAGGCACTGGCAGGGGCAAACTCCACTTACTTGGCCCGCCATGCTCCACCCCTCATGGGAGGGGGAGCATGCAGGAGACTGGGTGCCAGAGCTGGAGCTAGCGCTATTGGACATCGGCAAGCGTGAACTCCATACGAGCCCCATGACAGCATCTACAGGAGGGTGCCTGCAACCCCTGATGCCCCAGAAGGAGTGTTACAGTGCCCTTTTAGCTTTGCCATCAATGGATGACTTAAGTGTTAACAGCTCAGTGGAGGCTCAGTGAGACAGCCTTTATACCTGCACTTGTGGCCCCTGAGTTCTTGTCTGGCATCCAGGAGGAATGGAGCTGCACAAATGAATTAAGGACGGTAAATGTGGGGGATTTTATTGCCGATGAAAGTGGCTCTGAGCAGGAAGGGGAGCTGGAAAGGGGACAGAGTGGGAAGGTATTCCTCCACTGAAGTCCAGCCATCCCAGGCCAGACTCCTCCTTCTGGCCTATGCTGTCAAGCTGTCCCTCTGAAGTCAAACTGCTTCTTTTCAACATCAAACAATAGCTTCTAAAGTCCAGCTGCTTCTTCTCTTCTCCTCTCTCTGCTGGCTGAGCCTGGGTTTTTCTTTTTTTTTAATTGAGATGGGGTCTCACTTTTGTCACCCAAGCTGGAGTGCAGTGGCACGATCTTGGCTCACTGCAACCTCTGCCTGCTGGGTTCAAGTGATTCTCCTGCCTCAGCCTCACAAGTAGCTGGGACTACAGACGGTGTGTGCCACCATGCCTGGCTAATTTTTTGTATTTTTAGTAGAGACAGGTATTTACTGTGTTAGCCAGGATGGTCTCAATCTCCTGACCTCATGATCCACTGCCTCGGCCTCCGAAAGTGCTGGGATTACAAGCATGAGCCACCATGCCTATCTGAGCCTGGGGTTTTTATGGGCACAGAATGGGGTGGTGAGGCAGGCCATGGGTGGTTTTGGAAAAGGCAACATTCGAGTGGGAAAACAGGGATGTAAGTTCTCACTTTGGACCATGGTATTAGGCTTTTTGGCTTCAGGGTGGGGTTTTTGCCAAGGACTCACCCTCTCCAGCCCAGAATTCCTCTGCCTCCTGTCCCTATCATATTCACACTAAGCCTCCAATAATGCATCAAAATTACCACCGAAGAGTTTCTACCAGCTTATGGTTTTTGTGGCCTGTGCTCTAGGTAAGCAGGTCTCAGCTATATATCTCTAGAAGTGCTTATCTCTCTAGATTTTTGGGTAACAGTTTGCCCTGTGACCTCAGTTCTGTGATGGCTTTAAAGAAAAGCTTTTTTGTTTCTTCTGGCTCTACTTGTTGTAAGAACTGAAGTGACAACTTGCAATCTATTTACACATTGCTGCTCAAGCAAGAAGTTCGACAGTAGCATTCTAAGTGTTCTTGTCTACTAATTCTATCATCTGTGTTAATTATGAGTCTTCTGTCATGATTGATTTTATCCTTATTATGGATCACATTTTTCTCCCTTGAATTCTTGGTAATTTTTCACTAGATATTACACATTTTGAATTTTGGTATCTGAATATTTTTATTTAAATATTCTCCAGTGAAACAACTATAACTGGTTTAAATTATCTTAAAAATAACAATCTTTAAAAATCTCTGAAAATCAACTTAAGAGGATACAGAAAGTGAAAAATGTCTTCATAAAATTCTCAGTAAGAATAGTGAGAATTGGAGACTTGGGCCCTGACCTATTCCCTCTCTCTACTCCCTCTCCACTGCTCAGTGTAACACAGTCTCTACTCTGGATAGGTATGGCCACAAAGATGGAGTTCTCTCTATACTCTGCTTTCAGTCAAGAGCTATGATGGCTCCTTTGGAGGATAAGGCCACCAGCATAGCTCATTCTCCCAACTCCTTAGCACAGAGGCTCAATTCCAGGTGAGTGTAGCCAAGCGGTCAGAAGCTTCCTTCTATCCCCCACTCAGAGGCTCCTCTGTCCCCCACTCAAAGGCTCCATTTCATGCATGGCAGGGTGAGAATGATGAGACCTTGATACCTTCACCCCAGCTTGCTCAGAGGGAAAGATTCCAGACCAGAGAGGTAAGCTGAGAAGTTCAGAGACTACTGCCCTCACCAGCACCTTCCACCCACAAAAACAGCAGTGTCACTTTGAGAAAAATGGGCCACTGTCTCCAGTCCCAGCTCTAGAGAAGTGGCAAAGAGATTTTTTTCCTGGGGGAGAGGTTATAAAAACAGAGAGCTCTGATGCTCTTCCCAAAGGTTCTGACTTTATTTAAAACAGAGTTGGAGGAGTTCCACTCTAAGGGAACTCTTGAAAACAATGGAGATTTTGTTGGTAAGAAATTAAGAGGAGGCTTGCAGCTCCATGATAATAAGCCAAACTATAGGCCAGCTAGTTAGGAAGACCAGGTAAAGAGCCAGTCACAAAGACCCCTCCTGGGGTCAGAACAAACTTCAAAATCTACCCCTGAAAAGGAACCCAAATTTAATTGGATTAAACATGGGGAACTTTTGGCCCAGGATACTGTCATGCACAAGAAAGAAATCAGCTGGAAATTAGTGAACATTAACAGCTGGGTATGACCAACAGAGTCAGACAGCTTAACAGAGAGAACAGGAAAAGAGACATCCTACATGAGTTCTGCTAAAACTACTGTCATCCCAAGGTGACTGTGCCAGTGCCCAAAGCTGTGCCCTCTGAGGAGTGACATTAGAGGCTTGCTACTGTTGGGGAATAGATTTCACCAAAATAGTCCATCCAAGTCACTCAATAACCAAGCAAACAACAAAACAACCAAGCCCCGTGGTCAGGGGAATTAGTATCCAGAGTTGCTAAAATGTATTATTTAAAATATCCAATTTTCAACAAAAAAATTGTAAGACATGCAAGAAAATAGAAAAGTATTACCTATAGGTAGGAAAAGAGAAGCAGGTAATATAAACTGCTTATGAGAAGGCCCAGATGTGGGATTTGGCAGACAAAGACTTCAAAGCAGTTATAAATTTTGTTCAGAGAACTAATGGTTACCAGAGACTAGGAAGTGTAGTGGGAGGGTGGGGTGAGGGTTGGGATGGTTAATGAGTACAAAAAAAAAAAAATAGTTAGAAAGAATAAATAAGACCTACTATTTGGTAGCACAACAGAGTGAGTACAGTCAATAATAACTTAAAATAGCATATTTTAAAATAACCCATTTCCCATTTGCCCCAAGAATACTGCACTGGCAGTGAGCTGCAACTTTCTTTTTTCCTAAATGCAAAATGGGTTAAAGAGTGTAACTGGATTGTTTGTAACTCAAAGGATAAATGCTTGAGAGGATAGATACCTCATTCTCCATGATGTGCTTATTTCACATTGCATGCCTGTATCCAAACATCTCATGCACCCCATAAATATACACACCTACTAGGTGCCCACAAAAATTAAAAATTTAAAAATGTTCAGAGAACTAAAGGTAACCAGGTTTGAAGAGGTATAGAAAGATACGATGACAATGGCTTATTAAAAAGAGGATATCAATAAAGAGAATTATAAAAAGAATCAAAAATTTTTGAGTTGAAATATACATTAACTGAATCAAAGTTTCACTTAAGTGGCTCAACAGTAGATTTGAACTGGCAGAAGAAAGAATCAGAAAACTTAAAAGATAAGTGGATAGAAAGTATGCAATCCAACAAACAGAAATGAAGAGGACCTCAGAAGAAGGTGGGACACCATTAAACACACCAATATATGCATGAAAAGACTACCAGAAGGACAAGAGAGAGCAAAAAGCAGAAAAATGTATTTAAAGATATAATATCTGAAAACGTCCCAAATTTGAGAATAAACATTAAACATCTACAAAATTCAACAAACCCCAAGTAGGATATACACAAAATGCTTCACACCAAGACACATCATAGTAAAAATGTTGAATGCTATATAGAGAAAATTTTGAAAGAAGTAAGAGAAAAACGGCTCATCGCATATAAGACAACTCCAGCAAGAGTAACACCTAAATTTTCATTGGAGGTTCTAGTAACTAACTGTTAAGTATTGCTTACTCTTGGTATAGTTAAATGAGTATTGATTGTTCTGAATGAAGTTAATTGGATATTGACAGAACTTGATACATTTTCTGGGGTTAGCTTCAAGTAGCCAATGACTGAATGCTTCTAATATTATCAAAGGACCAGTACAAAATATTCTGTATCAGTTTATCCTGTTTGTTACATTTCTTCAGATGAAGTTACTCACTTGACTGCCCATGCAGTGCAATGCTGTGGAAAGAAATATTGTATTCCATATTAACCTCAAAGTAATGGTTTGATAAACAATTGAAATGAGTAATTAAAATATTTGCTTAAAAATATGAGATCTGACAAAGGATTGGAGAGCCGAGAGCTGATCTACGAATCTCCAGTACGGTTTTTCAACTCACCGTGAGAGGACTAAGGATGGGTCTTGGTTGGATAAATGGGTATGTTTTTGTGGTGGCATTGGAGAAGGTAGAAAATAAAAGGGAATTTATATACAACTCTTCTCTACTTCACAACAATTTTGTTGTTTCCAATGCTGGATCTGGAAGTCCCTATAATGGGGCTAAAATTAAGGTCCAAGTGTCTGGTAATATTACAAAACCAGACAGTATGCCTATTACTTTGACTAATGACAAGAATTCCAAAGAGATTAATGGGGTGGATGATACTCTGTCTGCATCTCGGCAAGTTGGGACTGCCTATGCAAATGCTGTGCTGCCTATTGGGCGGAGTAGCCATTATTTCTCTGCACTTATCCAATCCATCCCCATATGTGTGCGAATGGACAAATGAAGAAGTCCTGGCATGTCTCATCTTGCTACTGTCACTATAGCCAAATGAGTTACTGACTTCAGGAGGAAAGGTTTGTTTTAAAATTAATGATAAATGAGAGAAAAGTGAATCAGGCTGAGTGAAGAGAGCCAGCAAGTGTGTCTTACAAAAGGGAAAAATCAAAGATAATTTTGATGTCCTAAGAGAGGTTTACAACAAGTGAATAACATGCTCTCTTAGCTTTGACTCAGATGTCCTCTGGGGCAAAAGACTGCCAAAACTTCTTCCACTTTAAAAAAATGAAGAAGCTGTAAAATGACCAATCTAATAAATATACTTCCACTATTGATCTATGTCCTTCTAATCAATAAACAGATTGGAGCTCAGGCAATGACTCTGTGAAACAATACTAATGTGGCTGTCTCATATGGTTCTTGTTTCACAGAGAATTCAATTAGTATAAATGTATACTAATAGAAGTATAAATCTCAATTGATGTATATCATACAATACAGATAGCTGAAGATCAGGGAGAAGAAAAATGTATAAAATATGTGGCACTTCCTGTTGGCATTACAGGATGGTTTAAATTCACAACCCCTCAGGGGTGATTACAATTCTTTCAAACCTGTATGTGCGTTTTGATCACCAATTGATTATATGCTGTTGAAAGCCAAATGATTCCATCAAACTAAGAGTGATTGTTTTGTTGTAAAAGGCTCTGACCAAAAATTATGGGGTAGAGTGGAATGCTGTAAAAGGTAAGCCCAGCAGACCTGGAATTAGTGTGAACTGCAGAGTTTGCTTATCACTGATCATTGGTCAAGGAATAAAACATACTGATTAATAGTGCTGCTTTTCATCCATGAGTCCAAGATGTTTGGGAGCAGGTTTTAACTGTGCATCAGTAGTGTTTACCGTTAACAGTGAGACTGATTTATGCCTGGTCTCACTGGAACCTTCAGAGTCCTCTGCTGTTGGGGCTTGTTGCCTAGCAAGAATATGCCTATGTGTCCAGCAGAGTATAAGAGACACCAGCAGAGAATCCATTTTGGGGTTTCTGATGTGTTTTGTGCACATGTTGAATCCTTATGTGATAGTGAAATTGTGTCCATATAACACTTGCACAAGGAAAAATGGAGTTTGTGCATGGCCCTTACCCAGACCCCTTGCTGTGAGGCAGCCTTTGGCTGTGATGTAAATACTGACTTTAATGGTATTGCTATGTTGTACCCTTTCCCTTAATAAATGGTAGATATTTAAGCACTGTCATTTTGGGCCTTGTGAGCCTTCCTTAGCAATTGACTGTTGTTTAATTGCCACTGTTAAAGTACCACATTTTTTTGTAATGTGGCAGTTCTGTAGTTTTAGGCCTTGTGGCCATTTCTCAAGGTGTCACTTGCTTCACTGCCTAGGGAGTTACCTGTCCATAACTGACAGAGAAAACGTAGCTTCTGAGGCCTTCACTTTAGCGTATCCTTTTCTGAGCCCAAACATGATCATGAAGTAGAAAAGCACAATAAGGAAAAACTAGTGAAATCTGAAAAAAAAAGTGTCTAGTTAATAATGTTATCAATGTTTCTTAGTTATAAAAACATACCATAGTAATATGCTAATAGGGAAAACTGGGTGAGGAGTATATACAAACTATCATTGTAATTTTTCTGTAAATACATTCTCAAATAATTCTTTTAAAAAAGAGTACTCCTTTTCATCTATACTTTTCTGAAAATTAAGCATGCAGAAAGGCATGCTTTTTGACCCTCAATTCCCTTGGGCACTGTGCAGTAAGCTCAAGTAGCATCATGGTATCAGAGACTAAGGAGAATAAAAAAGAAGGAAACATATTTCCATAACAGATGGCACCTTTCTGCCAGGAGCGGTAAGTACCTGAGGAAGGTAAGCAGCGCCAGGGCCAGTCCCACACCAACTCCTTCATCATTCCTTTTTCCTCATGAGCTGCCCAAAGTAGCCCCTCAGTGTCTGATGTGCCAGCCCTGGAGGTGCTGATATGGTCCTCGTCTAAAGGTGGGCTCTTCTTTCATGGCTCATCTTTGCAGTGATGCTACTCAATTAACTGTTAACAACAGTGTCAAGGAAATACCTGTCCTCTAACTAATTCTAAAGATGCCATCATTCTCCCTCACACTATCCTTGCCCACAATATAACAAGGGATGGGAATTAGAGACATTTTTCTTGGGTCAACTGATTTATTGTCCTCATGCTTAACCTATCAGATCAAACTTGCAGAAAGCAAGATGCTCAGGGCTGGGGAAAATTGTTACTGGTCTAGGTTTTAAAAATGATTTTGTCTACTTTCTTTTCTGTGCTCATCAAACCGTAGGCTAAAATAATGGCACATTAACTAAATGCTTTCTTGGCTAAGATTATGCCACATTATATTGTTTTACCAAAAGTGAGTCTGCTTTCTCGTACCAGGACTGTACTTCTGGGACAAAGTAGTCCTTTTCATTCCAATTCCAAAACCTGCTGTCTTAGTTTGGTAGAAATACCAAACTGGTATTTCTGGTTTGTGATGCAGTGTGAGGAGGCATCATGATGTTGGAGGAAAATATTCCAAACAGGATGCTGAGGCTATATGCATACAACGGAGGAGAGGAGACCAGTTGCTTTATAATCATCCTGTGCAAAATGAGTAAGTGGAGTGGGATAAAATTAAAATAAAGGCAAACAAAAAGTATATAAGAATCACCCTGTCCTCCCTGGCGCCCCCCTCCAAACACACAAACACACAAGGTGACTGGGGAAATCTCAGCTATCTCCAAGGTCCTAGAAGAATAGGCAAGACTAGTTTTAGGACAAGACTAATTAATATCCAGACATAGCAGGCAGGCCAAAATCTAACAGCATTGAGGGAAGCCAACAGAGGACACAGTCACTCAGAAAAGGAAGTGGACATGCCCAGTGCAGGTTTGGCTGTTAGCACCCACTAGAACTCACCAGTGAGTTACAACGTTTATATACAGACTAAAAGATCTTCCACAGAGCTCAAACTATTCACATTTATTCATATTCTCCACAGAATTCAAATTATTCCATTTTTAACTTCACATTCTACAGTGAGTTTTTCTATAGGTAAATATTTTCTTATATATGTTCTATAAAATTTTTGATATTACAAAACAGAAGCTTGGTACATCAGTTCTAGGTGAATATTTTATCTCCAATTCTAAAACTGACATATTTCCTCAGAAAAAAATACCTAGGAAAAATGTCATTTATTCAAAATATGAAATTTTATTATAATTGATGTTTAATGCAATTCACTTTACGAAGGTTTTTGTGGTTTTCCCTAAAATTTCTGTTTTAATGAAGGCTCCTGATCATCCTGGATGTCAACAAGTTTTCTTCTTCATGTGACGTCTCTGATGCACAATAAACTGATTAGTTTTTCTAAAACTGATTATATTCATAGGGTTTCATCTCACTCTAACATAAAGTTTAAGCTAAACTACGTCCATTTAACTAATAAGCCAAATTTGTAAGAGCTTAACAGACTATAAACTTAACTCTTGCTTTAAAGCAACAAAAACAAAACCCTGATGAAGACCTGGAAGTGAATTGTTCGTTTTTCAGACTCTAGCTTCCTTGACCTTGTGCTTTATGGTTTTGAACACACAGGACCCAAGTTTGCTGCAGAAATAACCTCCAAATCCATATTATGAACCAGGAAGACTGTGAGGGTTTTTCTTTTTTTTTTTTAAGGGCCAAGAGTAAATGTAATATATATCATTAGCACCATATCCCATGGTCAGCCCCACCTGAATAAACGGCATATTGGGATTTTTCCACAAACTATGAGCCTAATGAAAAAGGAAATGGATAAGGGAAACAAGTTCCCAGCCTATGTCACATGAGTTTCTGCACTACGTGTTATGTGGTAAGGTATGCATTCCCTCAGGACTTCCCAAATCCATTACATGCTAGGGTTTTCTCTCTGGTATGCATTCTGGTGTGATGTACCCTAAGAGCTGCCTTACGGACAAAAGTTTTCCCACATTCATCACATTCATAGGGTTTCTCCCCTGTGTGAATTCTCTGGTGTACTCTGAGAGTTGAATTTTGGGCAAAAGCTTTCCCGCATTCATTACACTCATAGGGTTTCTCCCCTGTGTGAATTCTCTGGTGTGCACTAAGGTGTGATTTCTGGGAGAACGTTTTCCCACAATCATTACATTCATAGGATTTCTCCCCTGTGTGAATTCTTTGATGTACTCTGAGGGTTGAATTATGGGCAAATGGCTTCCCACATACATTACATTCATAGGGTTTCTCCCCCGTATGAACTCTCTGATGTGCACTAACATATGACTTCTCAGAGAAGGTTTTCCCACATTCACTGCATTCATAGGGCTTCTCCCCTGAGCGAGTTCTAAGATGTGCTCTGAGATGTGATGTCTTGGAGAAAGTCTTCCCACAGTCATTACATTCATAGGGTTTCTCCCCTGTGTGAATTCTGTGATGTGCCCTGAGGGCTGAATTATCAGCAAACGTTTTCCCACATTCATTACACTCATAGGGTTTTTCCCCAGTATGAATTC